>NW_025791773.1:0-113364 GCF_000001405.40 Homo sapiens
GACCAAAAACTCAAATTTTAGCATTTTAATAAGTAATGACTTAAAAGCATTAAAAACTGAATCATTCCTACTTGTGAAGTTTTAAAATTATGGATTTTTCTTGCTTTGTGGTTGCGAATTTAAAGATAACTTACTACTGATTGGTTTTATGTGAGATGGTTTTGTTTCCAAGGAAACAAAAAAATTATGAACATAATTAATCTAGATTTCATTTGTTAACACTACTAAAAAAATCAATGAGGCCGGGCACAGTGGCTCACACTTGTAATCCCAGCACTTTGGGAGGCCGAGGTGGGCGGATCACAAGGTGAAGAGTTTGAGACCAGCCTGACCAACATGATGAAATCC
The DNA here is from genome assembly GCF_000001405.40 of Homo sapiens. Classification (NCBI taxonomy): domain Eukaryota; kingdom Metazoa; phylum Chordata; class Mammalia; order Primates; family Hominidae; genus Homo; species Homo sapiens. Next base: position 349 of record NW_025791773.1, read on the forward strand.
TGTCTCAACTAAAAATACAAAAAGTTAGCCGGGCGTGGTGGCGGGCACCTGTAGTCCCAGCTACTCAGGAGGCTGAGGCAGGAGAATCGCCTGAACCCCGGAGGCGGAGCTTGCAGAGAGCCCAGATCACACTACTGTACTCCAGCCTGGATGACAGAGTGAGACTCTGTTTCAAAAAAATAAAAAATAAAAATAAAAAAGAAAAGAAAAAAATCAATGATTATTTATTTTAAAAAACCCTCCCTTTCGGAGAAAAACCACGTGTAAGGACAAGAGCAGTTCTTGTAAAATTCAGGGTCACAGGAGTTGAAAAGAACAAGTAGCCGTGAACGTTGAATTTTGTTTGAAGAGGTGAATATGCTTCACGTACAGCCATTGTGGAAAGAAGAATGTGTAAGTACCTGTTATTCTTTGACCATCTGTTATTTACTGAAAATAGATTGTTTAAACCAGTTCATTAAGCTCTGATTTATGAATGTTAATTTTTTTAGAAAGATTTCATCTGTGAAAATAAAATATTTGGAAAGCAAAGTGGGATTTTTAAAAAAATTTATTTAAATCTTCATAAATTTAGCTTTCCATGAGCACCCACTTGGCTAGACAGATAAAGAGATCACTAGTCAGAAAGACTTGGAAGGACTTAGCAAATATGAAAGAATTACCTAAGGATAAAAAATTCTATGTATATATTCTTAAAATTTCCAATGATTTTAGTGACATAATTTCTCTTGGAGTTTCAAATTGTGAGTCACTTCTTCTGAGGATAGCAGAATTATGTTTTGGAAATTACTCAGCTCTGAGGTGCAGTATAGCTATGCCACATTCTGGCTTGCATAAGTTATTATCTTTCCTATTTATTTACTTTTCTGGGGATGGTAGGACAGCCATTATTATCAGATCGTCATTGGAAGTAACAGATCACATAATCTCAACCATTAACTCTTGTCATCCACAGCTTATCTCTTTCAGCTTCTCCACCAGCCCTTTCCCAAGTGTAAGTCATAATTTCTCTCCTACGATCATACCTATTACGCCTCTCCCCATCCTCACCCACTCCCACACTGCACTTGACTGTATGTGCTTGGGATCAAAAAGGCCCTTTGCTTTCACCATTGTAACCCATTGCCTCTCATGGCTTAGCCAGTTCTCATTTCCCACGAGGTATGTTCACATGTATCTAGAGTTTATTTGTGGTCTTCAAGAAGATCTTCTAAGTTGTTTTTTTCCATACCTGCCTCCTCAATAATTGTGAAATTACAAACTGGTTAGATTTGAAATTATTGTGGAAAATTATTGTAATCAAACCATTACGGAAAGATTGCCTTAAATGAACATTGCCCCTTCACTGGTCAGAAAGAGGTGCCTGGGGATTACAGAACGTGGATGCCTTGTGGATGGTGTTAACTGGGACTGACTCAAGCTTGTCTGACAACCTGTTTTTCAAAAAAATTAAAATAAATCCATGACGTTGCCCGGTCTAGGTATGCTATTGTTAGTTACGTGCATAATATGATTTACCAGAAGGTTTTAGAGAAAAATGGGAAGGATCGCCTTGTGGCATGCTAAGCATCTTGGAGATCATGAGTTAATGTTGGATAGTACAATCAAGCTGGCACACACCGACAACAACCTTAATTTCCTCATTAGAATTCCCTGTCGGTGGGCAGGTCAATCACAGCCATTTAAATCCTCACACCTGTGCATCTTCACAGTTTGGATCAATGACAAATTTAAAAACAAAACAAAACAAGCTTCATCCCCAGAAAAACACAATCCTTGAAATGATGAGTGACAAATCCTACAAAAGAAAGTGCTGTCTCGTGGTGTTCTTAATTTTTTTTTTAAGAGAGATTCATGTTTACTGTAGGCAGGCGTGCCTGTCTTTACATACTGATGAGTTCTCAGGTGCAGTGTCATTGAACTTGAGAAAGCAAAGCTTGCAAAATGAAGAAAAGCAGCTAAGTAAAACTGCTGCAGATTGCAACCACCTGCTCTTAGCCTGGATTAGTAAGTGCTGGAAGTCCGTTGCCACATTCTTAGAAAACAGATCGACCACCACTCTTACTCTCAGAGAATACTGCTGAGTGAAATTGTTCTTAAATTAACTCGAATTTCGCTGTCAATAGCTACTTATGAGAGAATAATCAGGGTGACAGTCCAATCTGAGAGATTTGGTGGGGACGTTGTTCATGGAACCACTCAGACAATAAGCAAGGCTACAAACCACACTGAAACCCAACTAATAGTCCTATAAAGAGTTCTTTCTGATAAACATAGAAATTGGCCATTCTGGGTCTTAAAGCTTAACGCTTACATTGGTTGTATCTGAGTTTCTTTCTCAGGAAATGACCTACAGGCTGCTCCAAAAAAGTATCAAATAACTGAAACCAGATCACCACACCAGACAATGGGATGCCACCCCTCATTCACCAGGATCCCTTCCTCGCCCCTCCCGGGTTCCTGTTTTCCTACACAGTTACATTTCTTCTCTGCTATATAAACCCCTAGTTTTAGTCCCTCAGGGAGATGGATTTGAAACTGAGCCCCCATCTCCTGGGCTGGTGCATCCAATTAAAGCCTTCTTCTTTGGCAAAACTCTTCTCAATGACTGCGGTTCTGTGCAGTGAGCAGTAGGACCTGGACTGAACCCCTAGTGTTTTGGTAACGATATCATAAATTAGCTACTTAAGAAATATGTGCTGAAAACATTTTAACCATGTATCACATATGACAGGAGTTATTATTGCTAGACGGTAAGCTCTGTGAAGGTACGTATTTTACTGTTTTGTTCACTGCTGTGTCCTTAGAATGAGAAAAGCCTTCCACATAGTAAATATTTGTAGAAGAACTGAATATATGTACTCAGCGCCCACATAATTGTTTATAATTATCTTTTCTTTTATTCATATTATTGAATGTCTAAGTAGCTTTGTTCTCAGTAGCCTATGAAGTTCAAAATAATGTTGCCCATCACGTACCAGGTATTTTTACATGCAACACATTATTTCATGTTCATACAGGGTCTATTTTCTTATTTTATAAATAAACCAAATAAGACTCAAAAGTTATTCAAAGACTCATCAAAGGTTGTTTAGCTAGTAAGTGTGGGATTTAGGTTTTGAGGGGCTTGATGGTGTTGATACAATTTAGATGTCACATATATTCTAGCTCCCACTTTGATTCTGCCGCATTTTGTTCACCTCTTCAAATAAAGGTATGTGTCTACAGCTGTGTTTATTCAGTTGGATTTTTTTCCTATTTTGTACCAATTATTTGCTCATTTATAATGTACACCCACTCACTTTCACAAGGAAAGAGAAGCAGGATGCTCCTCACTCTGGAGGCTTCGCCTAAAGCCTTCATGGCCCGACTGTGTCTGAAGTATGAGAGGAGCAGAAGCAGAAGGACAAAGGTCCAACAGGTGCCTCTCTCCGATCCACTTAACACGCGACAAAGGAGGGAAGCAAGCCAAACGAAGACGCATATCATGGAAGCAGGACAGTGGAGATGCAGTAGGGGAAGAAACATGCACACATATCAGTAATTGTGAAATTACAAATATGTTAGATTTGAAAAGGGGGACTTGAAATTATTGTAGAAAATTATTCTAATCAAGCCATTATGAAAATACTACCTTAAGTGAACATTGTCTCTTTCACTTCTATTAAAGTGTGTGAGTTATAGCTTGACTTTTTCTACGGCAAAACTGAGTAGAATTTTTTCATTCACTGTAGAAAGAGAATACACTCAGCTCTAGAGGTAACTTCTCCTAAAGAGAATACACTCAGTTCTGGAGGTAACTTCTTCCTAATCCATAACTAGTGAACTATTTTAGGCATGCATGGGTGAAAATGAAGAAATTGTTGTTGTTGCTGTTTTTAGAAGATTATATTCGTTGTACTGTTATTTCAAGAAAACTGCAATAAGGGCTCATATTATTTTATCTACATAGCATTTTACAAGTACAAATGTTACATCACAACTGCATAAATACTAATATGAATTTCTTGAAATATTTTTTGAGGGTAATATCAGTTTTTATTAATATACTTTTGTATTTTATTATATTAATCCATATTTTTGCAAAAGCATATTAAAGAAGTTTGAAGTATTTATAAAAATGTATACTAAAAAAATTAATGAGTAATTATTGTTAACCCTTGGCACACTGTGGACTTCCGAGGAATGTGGGATAAATATAAATATGCACACATACACACATGCATGGCACAATTTACTGTCTTTATTTGACATTCAGGGGTACGCGTGCAGGATGTGCAGGTTTGTTTTATAGGCAAAAGTGTGCCATGGTGATTTGCTGCACAGATCATCTCATCACCTGGGTAAAAGCCCAGCATCCATTGGCTATTCTTCCTAATCTTCTCCCTCTTCCAACTGCCCCCGACAGGTCCCAGTGTGTGTTGCACCCTGCCACCATGTGTCCATGTGTTCTCATCATTCAGCTCCCACTTACAAGTGAGCACATGCGGTATTTGTTTTTTTGTTCCTGTGTTAGTTTCCTAAGGAAAATGACCACCAGCTCCATCCATGGCCCTGCAATGGACATGATCTAGTTCCTTTTTAAATCTGCATAGTGTCCCATGGTGTATATGTACCACATTTTCCTTATCTAGCTTTATCATTGATGGGCATTTGGGTTGATTCCATGTCTTTGCTATTGTAAATAGTGCTGCAATGAACATACGCATGAATATGTCTTTATAATAGTACAATTTATATTCCTTAGAATATATGCCCAGTAATAGGATTGCTGAGTCCCATGGTATTTCTGCCTCTAGGTCTTTGAGGAATCGCTACACTGTCTTCCACAATGGTTGAACTAATTTACACTCCCACCAACAGTATAAAAGTGTTCCTTTTTCTCTACAACCTCGTCAGCATCTGTTGTTTTTTGACTTTTTAGTAATAACCATTCTGACTGGTGTTAGATGGTATTTCATTGTGGTTTCGGTTTGCATTTCTCTAATAATCAGTGATGTTGAGCTTTTTTCATGTTTTTTGGCTGTATGTAGGTATTTTTTGAGAAGTGTCTGTGCATGCTTTTTGCCTACTTTTTAATGGTGTTTTTTTTTTGTTTTTTTTTTTTGTTTTTTTGAGACAGAGTCTTGCTCTGTCGCCCAGGCTGGAGTGCAGTGGCACGATCTCGGCTCACTGCAAGCTCTGCCTCCTGGGTTCACGCCATTCTCCTGCCTCAGCCTCCTGAGTAGCTGGGACTACAGGCACCCGCCACTACGCCCAGCTAATTTTTTGTGTTTTTAGTAGAGACGGTGTTTCACCGTGTTAGCCAAGATGGCCTCAATCTCCTGACCTGGTGATCCGCCCGCCTTGGCCTCCCAAAGTGCTGGGATTACAGGCGTGAGCCACTGTGCCCGGCCTGTTTTTTCTTGTAAATTTGTTTAAGTTCCTTATGGATGCTGGTTATTAGACTCTTCTCAGATGGATAGATTGCAAAAATTTTCTCCAATTCTGTAGGTTGTCTGTTCACTCTGCTGATAGTTTCTTTTGCTGTGCAGAAACTCTTTAGTTTAATTAGATTCCATTTGTCAATTTTTGCTTTTGTCAAAATTGCTTTTGGTGTCTTCATAATGAAATCTTTGCTCGTGCCTACATCCTGAATGGTATTGCCTAGGTTTTCTTCTATGGTTTTTATCATTTTGGGTTTTATATTTAAGTCTTTACTCCATCTTGAGTTGATTTTTCTATATGCTGTAAGGAAGGAGTCCACTTTCAATTTTCTGCAGATAGCTAGCCAGTTCTCCCAGTACTACTTATTGAATAGGGAATTCTTTCCCCATTGCTTGTTTTTGTCAGGTTTGTTGAAGATCAGATGGCTGTAGTTATGTGGTCTTATTTCTGAATTCTCTGTTATGTTCCATTGGTCTACAAGCCTGTTCTTGTACCAGTACCATGCTGTTGTAGTTACTGTAGCCCCGTAGTATAGCTTGAAGTCAGGTAGTGTGATGCCTCCAGCTTTGTATTTTTTGTCTAGGATTGCCTTGGCTATTCAGGATCTTTTTTTGGTTTCATGTACATTTTAAAATAGTTTTTTTATTTATAACTCAATGAATATTATCAATGATAGTTGAATGAAAATAGCATTGAATCTATACATTGCTTTGGGCAGTATGCTCATCTTCACAATATTGATTCTCCCTATCCATGAGCATGGAATGTTTTTCCATTTGTATGTGTCATCTCCGATTCCTTGAGCAGTGATTTTTCAGTTTTCCTTGAAGAGGTCCTTCACTCTTCTTGTTAGCTGTCTTCCTAGGTATTTTATTTTATTTGGCAATTGTGTTTGGGAGTTTATTCATGATTTGGCATGCGGCTTGCCTGTTGTTGGTGTATAGGACTGCCAGTGATTTTTGCACATTGATTTTGTATCCTGAGAGTTTTCTGAAGTTGCTTATCAGCTCAAGAAGATTTTGGGCTGAGAAGATGTTGTTTTTTAGATACAGGATCATGTCTTCTGCAAAGAAAGATAGTTTGACTTCATCTCTTCCTATTTCAATACTCTTTATTTCTTTCTCTTGCCTGATTGCCCTGGCCACAACTTCCCATACTATGTCAAATAGGAGTGGTGAGAGGGGGCATCCTTATCTTGTGCTGGTTTTCAAAAGAAATGTTTCCAGCTTTTGTTCATTCAGTATGATATGGGCTATGGATTTGTCATATGTGGCTCTTATTATTTTGAGGTATGTTCCTTCAATACCTATTTTATTGAGAGTTTTTAACATGAAGGAATGTTGAATTTTATCAAACAGCTTTTCTGCATCTATTGAGAAAATCACGTGGTTTTTGTCTCTAGTTCTGTTTATGTGATGAATCACTTTTATTGATTGGCAAATGTTGAACCAACCTTTGAGACACAGTTTCATTCTGTTGCCTAGACTGGAGTACACTGGTGCAATCTCAGCTCACTGTAACCTCTGCCTCCCAGGTTTAAGTTATTCTCCTGCCTCAGCCTCCCAAGTAGCTGGGATTATAGGTGTGTGCCACCACGCTTGATCAGTTTTTGTATTATTAATAGAGACAGGGTTTTGCCATGTTGGCCAGGCTGATCTTGAACTCCTGACCTCAACTGATCTGCCTGCCTCTGCCTCCCAAAGTACTGAGATTACAGGTGTGAGCCACTGCACCCAGCCTAGCTTTTCTTATTGAATTGAAAACTTTACCATTATGTAATGCCCTTCTTTGTCTTTTTTGATCTTTGTTGATTTGAAGTCTTTTTTAAACCAACAAAGGATTCCAACCCGTTTTTTGTTTGTTTGTTTTCCATTTGTTTGGTAAATTTTCCTCCATCCCTTTATTTTGAGCCTATGTGTGTCTTGTGTATGAGTCTCTTGAAGACAGTATACCAATGGGTCTTGGTTTTTTATCCAGCTTGCCATTCTGTGTCTTTTAATGGGGGCATTTAACTTATTTACATTTAACATTAGTATTGTTATGTGTGGATTTCATCTTGTCATCATGATGCTAGCTGGTCATTTCACAGTCTTGTTTATGTGGTTTCTTTATAGTGTCACTGTTCTGTGTACTTAAGTGTGTTTTTGTAGTGGTTGGTAATAGTTTTTCTTTTCCACATTTAGCACTTTTTTTTTTTCAGGAGGTCCTGTACGGAAGGTCTGGTGGTAATGAATTCCCTCAGCATTTGCTTGTCTGAAAAGGATCTTACTTTTCCTTCTCTTATGAAGCTCAGTTTGGCCTAATATGAAATTCTGGGTTGGACATTCTTTTATTTAGAAATGTTGAATATTGGCCCACAGTCTCTTCTGGCTTGTAGAGTTCCCACTGAGAGGTTCACTGTTAGTCTGATGGTCTTCCCTTTGCAGGTGACCTGGCCTTTTTCTCTGGCTGCCCTTAACATTTTTTCTATCATTTTGACCTTGAAGAATCTGATGATTATGTGTCTTGGGGATGATCTGTTCGTGGGTTATCTTAATGGGGTTCTCTGCATTTCCTGAATTTGAATGTTGGCCTGTCTTGCTAGGTTGAGGAATTTCTCTGGATGATATACTGAAATATTTTTTTCAAATTGATTCCATTCTCCCCGTCTCTTTCAGGTATGCCAATCAGTCATAGTCTGGGTCTCTTAACATAATCCCATATTTCTTGGAGGTTTTGTTCTTTTCATTTTTTTTTCTATTCTGGTCTGCTTGTCTTATTTCAGAAAGACAGTTTTCATGTTCTGAGATTCTTTTCTCCATCTCGTCTCTTCTGTTATTACATGTGATTGCATTGTGAAGTTCTTGCCATGTGTTTTTCAACTCTCAGGTCGGTTATGTTTCTCTCTATAGTGGTTATTTGGCTATCAGCTGCATTGTTTTATCATGATTCTTACCTTCCTTGCATTGTGTTACAATGTGCTCCTTTAGCTCAGCAAAGTTTGCTTTTATCTACATTCTGAAGATTACTTCTATTATTTCAGTCATCTCAGCCTCAGCCCAGTTCTGAACCCTTGCTAGAGAGGTGTTGCGGTCATTTGGAAAAAAGGGGGCACTCTGGATATTTGAGTTTTCAGCATTTTTGCGCTGATTCTTTCTCACCTTTGTGGGCTTATCTACCTTCAATCTTTGAGGTTGCTGACCTTTGGATGGGGTTTTTGTTGTTTGTTTGTTTTTCTTTGAATAGTCTGGCCACTCTTCCATAAGGCTACTGTAGTTTGCTGGTGGTCTGCTCCAGGCCCTAGTAACCTCCATTTTTTCAGTACTTGGAGGTATCACCAGCAAAGCCTGCAAAACAGCAAACATGGCAGCCTGCTCCTTCCTCTGGAAGCTCCATCCCTGTAGGGTATTGACCTGTTGCCCCTGAATGCACCTGTAAGAGGTGGCTGGAAACCCTGGTTGGGAGGTCTCAGTCAGATTGGAGGAATAGGATCAGGGACCCACTCAAAGAAGCAGTCTGGCTATGTTTTGGTAGAGCAGCTGTGCTGTGTTGGGATCTTTTTAGCCTTCAATTGCTTTGGGCTTTCCAAGGCCCATAGGCTGGCCTGGCTAAGACGCCCAAATGATATACAAGTTAAGAAGAAATTATTTACGCAGACAGTGAGGATAAAGAAGTGTTCAGTAAAGCATTCCTTTTACTGAAAAGCAGACTCATATCATTTTCTTTTCTAACAAAGAGCAGCGTGTAAAATCAAGCTACATACATAGACAAGCAAGCTGGAAACTTGCACAGGTGAATGCTGGCAGCTGTGCCAACAGGAAAAGGCTGGCTGTGGGCTGGACATGTCTGACATCACAGCTCCATCTTCCCCTTTTTTGGTCAACCATGTGCACAGTAAGGAGCAGGCAACATAGCACCAGCCATGTAGAGACTCCATTTGCATAATAAAAGATTAGGGTGGGGCCACCAGCTTCCTCGCACACTATGTAAATATCAGACCTGGTCCAACCAATCTTTGGGCCGTATGTAAATCTGACCCCGCCTCCTCAAGCCTGTCTATAAAACCCTGTGCACTCCACCGTGGGCTGGAGGTCCCACTCCTACACCCCTCACTCTCAGGGGACAGAGAGCTGTTCTCCTTTCTCTTTCTTTTGCCTATTAAACCTCTGCTCTTACCCTCACTCCATGTGTGCCCCTGTCCTTGATTTCATTGGCATAAGGCAATGAACCTCAGATATTTACCCCAGACAACGATGCCGCTTCACAAACAGCCAAGGCGGCGGCCCGCCCCACTCCGCAGGCACTCTGCCCCAAGGAGAAATTAGAAGTCTTTCCGCAACAGAACACAGGCAGGGGTGGCTGGAGGCTCCAGAGGGAAGGACCTGCCCAGGGAGGAGGAATGTATCAGGGTCGCATTTAAAGAAGCAACCTCACCACACCTCAACAAAACAGCTGTAACATGCTGAGGCGCGGCCTCTGCCTCAGGGGGCTTGGTCTCTCCAAAGCTCGCAGGCTGGAATGGCCGTTTTCCAAACAGCAAAGATGGCGGCACGCCCCTCCCGCTGGGCACGGCCTCCCAGGGAGAAATCAGAACTCCGTCCCCAGAACACCAGTGGGGGTGGCCAGAGGCCCTGGCTGGGAGGGCCTACCCCACAGGGAGGAGTAAGTAGGTCAGCGTCCCACTTAAAGAAGCAGCCTGGCCACAAGCTGGCAAAGCCGCTGTGCTGCGTTGGGGTGACCCTTCCTGGTGCAGACTGTTTGGACTCTCCAAAGCCAGCAGGCTGGAACAGCTCAGTTATCCAAACAGCAAAGATGACCGCCTGCCCCTCTCCTCCAGGGCTCCGTCCTGTCTCAGGCAAGCTCCACCCTGGTGCCAGTGGCTGGCTGGAATTCCACGCCAGGGGGTCTTATTTTGTGAGGTGCTGTGGAAGTGGGGCCTGCGTACTGATGCCACTCAGCCCCCTGGATTCAGCTCCCTTTCTAGGGGTATGTATGGACCTTCCGCCTTGTTTGAGTTCCATCGCCTTCGTCAGGGAGCCCAGGGCTAGAGTATGGAAAGCTCCTGGGTCTCTGTGCATTCCCGAGCAGCTGCTCTGTCCAGACTCCACACAGGTCTGTGCGTCAGACCCAAGGCCCTGGAGGTGGGCTCTCAAGGGCTCTCCTGATCCGACGGGTGCAAAGTTCCGTGGAAGAGGCGTGGTTTCCCAGGGTCGCACATTCACTCACTGCTTCCCTTGGCTCTGAAATATTTTAAAACCAGAAGTAAGTTTTCCTGGTTCAAAATGGTATTTCATTCTGTAACCACACACTCCAGTATCAGATAGAAATTATAATTAGAAATATTTTTAAGATAGAAATTATAATTAGAAATATTTTTAAGATAGAAATTATAATTAGAAATATTTTTAAGATAGAAATTACAATTAGAAATATTTTTAAGATAGAAATCATAATTAGAAATATTTTTGGCATCTTGTATTTATATTAAAGGGTATGCAAATGTTTCTTATGAAATTTACTTTCAATTATATGTATAGTCTTTTTGAGGTTTGTCTAGAGGCTTTTTCCCTCCCAAAGCATTCAAATGCAGGCATACCTTGCTTTATTGTGCTTAGCTTTATTGCATTTAGAGATACTGTGATTTTTACCAATTAAATGTTTGTGGCAACTCTGAGTTGAGCAGTTCTGTAGATTGGCACCATTTTTCCAACAACATTTGCTCACTTCCCGTCTCTGTCACATTTTCGTAATTCTCTCAATATTTCAAACTTTTTCATTATTATTACATCTGATTTAGTGATCTATGATCAGTAATGTTTGAGGTTACTACTATAAATCTTTTGGAGCACCATGAACTGTGCCTGTATAAGATGGTGAACTGTAACCGAGAAACAGTGTGCATGTTCTGCCTGCTCCACTGACCAGCTGTTCCCCTGTTTCTCTGTATGTCCTTAGGTCTTCCCGTTCCCCTAGACACAACAGTATCAAACTGACCACTTACTAACCTACAGTGCCTCTGCACGTTCAAGTGAAAGGAAAGCACATCTCCCACTTTAAATTAAAAGCTGGACATTGTTAAGCTTAGTGAGGAAGGCGTGCCGAAAGCCAAGATAAGCTGAAAAGGCCTCTAGTCCCAAACAATTAGCCAAGTTGTGAATGCAAAGGAAAAGTTCCTTAAGGAAGTTAAAAGTGCTAACCTAGTGGACACATGAACGATAAGGAAGTAAAACAGGCTTGCTGTTGCTAAGGAGAAAGTTGTAGTGGTCTAGATGGATCACAGCAGCCACAACAGTCCGTGAAGTCAAAGCCTAATCCAGAGCAAGATCCTAACTCTCTTCAATTCTGTGAAGGCTGAGACAGGTGAGAAAGTTGCAGAAGAAAAGCTGGACGCTAGCAGAGATTGTTGGTCCATGAGGCTTAAGGAAGGAAGCCATCTTTGTAACATAGAAGTGCAAGGTGAAGCAGCAAGTACTTGTGTAGAAGCTGTAGCAAGTTATCCAGAAGATCTGGCTGAGATCATTGATAAAGTTGGCCACACTAAACAACACATTTTCAATGTAGACTAAAGAGCTTTCGGTTGGGAGAAGATGCCATCTAGGACTTTCATAGCTACAGAAGAGAAGTCAAGTCAATGCTTGACTTTAAAGCATCAAAGGACAGGCTGACTCTTTTGTTAGGGACTAATGCAGCTGGTGGGGTTAAGTTGAAGGCAGTGCTCATTTGCTATTCTCAAAATCTTAGGGTCTTAAGATTTATGCTTAATCTACTCTGCCTATGCTCTATAACTAGAACAGCAAATCCTTTATGACCGCACATCTGTCTTACCATATGCTTTACTAAATAGTTTAAGCTGACTGCTCAGAAAAAAGGATTTCTTTCAAAGTATTACTGCTCATTGACAAGGCACCTGTCACTGAGAGCTCTGATGGGGGTGTACAATGAGATCAATGTTGTTTTTATGCCTGTTAATACAACATTCATTCTACAGCCCATGGATCAAGAACTAATTTAGATTTCCAATCTTATTGTTTAAGAATTACATGGCTCACACCTTTTATCCCAGCACTTTGGGAGGCTTAGGCAGGCAGATCGCTTGAGGTTGGGAGTTTGAGACCAGCCTGGACAACATGGCGAAACCCCATCTCTATTAAAAATATTAAAAGTAGCCAGGCGTGGTGGCACCTGCCTGTAATCTCAGCTACTCCAGAGGCTGAGGCAGGAGAATTGCTTGAACCCGGGAGAAGGAAGTTTCAGTGAGCCGAGATCGTGCCACTGTACTCCAGCCTGGGTGACAGAGAGAGACTCCATCTCAAGAAGAAAAGAAAAGACACGACAAAAAGAAAAAAGAATTACGTGTTATAAGCCTGTAGCTGCCCTAGATAATGATTCCTCTGATGGATCTGGGCAAAGTAAATTGAAAACCTTCAGTAAAAAAGTCATTATTTTTGATGCCATTGAGAACATGTCTTTCTAAAGTTTAATCACATAGACTCATCTTTAACAGGGCTAGGGCTTTTATAGCAATTAGGAATACAGTCTTCACGATCTTGCAAGTCCATACATGAATTCCAGCTTAAAATCATGGTAATTTATTTGATAACTTTTTAAAAAAAGCTTAAAATGAAGCAAAAATATTTTTTGTTAGCTTGCAATCCCCCCATTTTCTATTTTACTTTTTGACATGGACAATTTCATTTTGTTTGCGTAGTTTTTGTTTTTAAATCAGGGATGATTTTTCTTTCACACACTTAAATATATACTTACCAGTTTCAAATTTTCATCTGTTTATCTCAAAGCACTAAATGTGATCAAACTCCAATTAGAGCTGTATTTAACCCCTGGGTCATTAGGATCAAAACAGTAAAGGGAGTGGAGATGTTGCTTTCCTAGTACAACTGAACAAGTTTGGTGGATCATTCATCTTATTTGAAATTGGAGATATATATTGTAGTTATAAGTGGGCTTAATCAACATCATTTCACCTTCTTGTAAAGTCTTATCTAGAAATGGGAATTTGGGCCTTGATGTGACTCAGTGTCAGAGAAGGGGCCAGGGAAAGAAGGAAAGAGTATTGATTGCTGAGTAAGTGGCCTCACTACAGAAGACCCATGGTCCATCCTCACAATGATGATAATCCACCAGCCGTTACACGCCAATTTGAAAACAAATTGTTATAGACCTTGGAAGCTTTCTCAGCTCAAAGCAGGCCTGACATACAACTGCATGTGAGGACAGAAATAAATCATATCAGATCAGAAGGTCTACTAGTTAACAGCTAAAAAAGAGGATTGTAGTATTTTCCCTTCGTTTTAGTCTAAACTCTCTCTAGAGGGTAGGTAGTGTAATAGGAGCAGGTAACTTTGTCCGTGTACAAATTTTCATGTGTTTTACATCTAGACTTTGAAACCTTGCTCATCATTTTCCTTCAGGTCCCATTCATAAATCTGACATTTATAAATTTAAGAATCAAATTGCAGATCATTTAAAGCTAGATGTGTAGGCTGAATTGTGAACTCATGATGAGACGAGCTTGCACTGAGATTGGGAGTGTACAGTTTTCATATTGCAGAAAATGCAACTAAACTTTTTGCCACTTGATTCAATAGGAAATAAAATGATATAGGATTAGTTTGAAGATGCAAACTGATTTCAGTGAATATTCATCATTAGTAAAGGCTTAACTTGGTGATATAATCCAGGGGATTTTAGATGTTTCCTTAAAACACCTACATGTAATTCGATACCTGGAATATTTCAGAACATTTTTACTTTGGCTATGTTTCATTCACAGAGGGAGACAGAAAACCAAGGCCATAATGAAGTAATTAATCAAATTAAATACCATTATGCTTTCAATTCCCTGTATCTCTCTGTGCTTGTAGATACAGACATTGTCTGAAAGCACTGCAGAAGAATGCTATCATTGTACTTACAAAGGAGAAAAACGTGATATACATTGCTTAGAAGTTTGCAAAAGTAGCTTTCGTGTTCCTAGGTAATTGATAACATGGGCAATGCCAGAAAATTTTTGACTTTTTTTTTTTTTTTTGAGACGGAGTCTCGCTCTGTCGCCCAGGCCAGAGTGCAGTGGCGCCATCTCGGCTCACCGCAAGCTCCGCCTCCCAGGTTCACGCCATTCTCCTGCCTCAGCCTCCCGAGTAGCTGGGACTACAGGCGCCCGCCACCACGCCCCGCTCATTTTTTGTATTTTTAGTAGAGACGGGGTTTCACTGTGTTAGCCAGGATGGTCTCGATCTCCTGACCTTGTGATCCGCCCGCCTCGGCCTCCCAAAGTGCTGGGATTACAGGCGTGAGCCACCGCGCCCGGCTAAAATTTTTGATATTTAACATTTTGCCCAGAGGTCCCAAATTAACCTAGAATCAAGTGTGAGGCTGTCTCTAAGGTACAGGAATCTGGAGTAGAGTATATTTAAAATGCTCTCAAAATTCTCACTTTTCTAGTGAGAGTTTTAATTTGACAGTATGGATGTCTGTGTAATTTAATCAAGTTATTAAACCAGAAAATTTCTAATTATAGAGAGAGCAGAAAGTTTATTCTTAGGATTCCTATGTCTCAATCAAACAATGAATGGACAGAAGTGTTCAAGGAATTTATTATAACTCTTTTATTCCTTTATAATAACGTAAATGGATTATCTCAAGCTCCTGAAGCCAAATTATAGCAAGAAAAAAAATTATCCTACAGATAGTTGTTCAGTAAGTGGACAAGAGAGCCGTGTGCAGCAAGACCAATCTCCTTGAAGGATGTTAGCTGAACTGCAGTGTCGGCAAAGCTTGAGTGGAAAGGTCATTTGAATGATTTCTCATAATTGAGTTCTACCAACATAGTCTTTGACATTTTAGTGTAGTTATTTATTTAAAAATTATTATGCATTTATAATGCACAGACAGAATCTGGATAATAAAGAGAAAGGGATAGTCCATTCCTCAAGGGAATAATTGTGTGTGAAAACCTGAGTCGGGACTTTATAGAGTACATCCAGGCCATGATTAGCAGGTCTCTTTGTTGGAATGGAAGCTTCATTTATAAGAACAATGAAATGTAAATGTTAGAATTTCTGCAATACCACTTATAGTTGTGGAATTTATCTTAAAGAAGAAAGAGTAGTTAAAGATATTTGAGTAAGAGGGTAAAGTGGTGAGAGCACTGTTTGCAGATTAGCTGGCAACTGTATGCAAATTTTGTTGGAATAGAAAAGACTGGCACCTAGGAGATTAGTGATTCATTTTTGCTAAAACCTAGCAAAGGAAGCATATGGTATTGGTCATGGGAATAAAAAGAACGAATAAATGTGAGAAATTAAGGAGGACTTGACAACACTTAATGACTGGTATTTAAATTTGAAGTTGGTAACTCCAAAATGTTAATTAGCCTCTGTTATTAGAAAAATTATACTATTGTGGACAGAATAAGTAAACTGTAAGAGATGAAATAATTGTAACTAAGCATGTGAGCTCTGATGAAAATCTACTTGGTCAGTACCTTGTCTCAACAGTTTGAAGAACCTTGGGCAAGTCACATAATCTTTAAGACATTCTTTTCCTTAAACTCACGAAACAGAATAATAACAATGCCTGCCTGTCGGGTTTGTTGTGAAGATTAACTAAGTAGCCCATGTAAAGTGCTTGGCACGTAATGTCTCAATAACTGTCAGTAACTCGTTATTGCTGTTATGGTGCTAATTACTTTTCAAATCAGCCAAACAATCCATGAAGGGAGAAGGAGATCTGGTATGATTTAAGTATATCTGACTTGCCGAATACCCTGCAGACTGCTGGAGATGCAGTATTCAGACAGTTTCTAGCTTCAGGTATAGAATTGAGAAATAAATTTAATTAAAATGGGATAAAAGTTCACATATTGGGAGTGAATGTTTTGCTAGGATGAGGTAAGATGAAAACAGAGGAATCAAATAGCTAGTTTTCCTTTACAAAGCAACTGGTGAAATCACAATCACACACCAGGGATTCGGCCAGCCAAGTCTTAGGGAAGAGATCTGGAAATGTACCTGCCAAGGTAGCAGATTTCCTTCCTTAAGAATGTCAGGAGACCATTACCACAGGGTGTCTCAAAGAGCTTTCTTTTCTTTTTGTTTTTGTTTCCATGGTTTTGGGGGTAGAGGTGGTGTTTGGCTACATGGATAAGTTCTTTAGTGGTGATTTCTAAGATTTTGGTGCACCCGTCACCCGAGCAGTGTACACTGCACCCAGTGTGTAGTCTTTTATCCATCACCTCCCTTCCAACCTTCCCCCTGAGGTCCTGAGTCCACTATGTTATTCTTATGCCTTTGCAATCTCGTAGCTTTAACTCCCACTTATAGATGAGAACATGCAATATTTGGTTTTTCACTCCTGTGTTACTTCACTTTGAATAATGGCCTCTAGCTCCATCCAAGTTGCTGCAAAAGCCACTATTTCATTCCTTTTTATGGCTGAATAGAATTCCATGGTGTATATACACCACATTTTCTTTTTCCATTCATTGGTTGATGGGCACTGAGGCCAGTTCCATATCTTTGTAACTGGAAATTATACTGCTGTAAACATGCATGTATTTTTTTGATATACTGACTTATTTTCCTCTGGGTAGATAGATACCCAGTAGTGTGATTGCTGGATTGAATGGTAGTTGTATGTTTAGTCTTTTAAGGAATCTTTGTACTGTTTTCCATAGTGGTTCTACTAGTTTACATTCCCACCCGCAGTGTAAAGTGTTCCCTTTTCACCACATCCATGCCAACATCTATTGTTTTCTGACTTATTAATTACAGCCATTCTGCAGGATTAAGGTGGTATCTCATTGTGGTTTTAATTTGCATTTCCTTGACAATTAGTGATGGTGAGCATTTTTTATATGTTCACTGTTTGTATATCTTTTGAGAATTATCTATTCATGTCGTTTGCCATTGTTTGATGGAATTTTTTTTTTCTTGCTGATTTGTTTGAGTTCCTTATAGATTCTTAAAACTAGTCTTTTGTCAGATGATTTTCTCCTTTTCTCCCACTCTGGGTTATCTGTTTCCTCTGCTGACTATTTCTTTTTCCGTGCAGAAGCTTTTTAGTTTAATTGGGTCCCATTAGTTTATGTTTGTTTTTGTTGCATTTGCTTTTGTGGTCTTAATCTTGAATTCTTTGCTTAGGGTAATGTCTAGAGAGTTTTTCCAAAGTTATCTCAGAATTTTTATGGTTTCAGGTCTTAAATTTAAGTCGTTGATCCATCTTGAGTTATTTTTTGTATAAGGTGAGTGATGAGGATTCAGTTTCATTCTTCTGCATGTAGCCAGACAGTTATCCTAGCACCGTTTATTGAATAGGGTGTCCTTTCCTCAAAAAGTTTTCTGCAGAGCACTAGTTCCACCAGATATTTAGTTTTGAAAGCTTCCGTGATCTGATATGTTTTAGAAATGTATTATAAGCTCTGAAAATCCTTATAGGAAAGATTCTTTTTAACCTTATTTAAACCAGAATCCCCCAAAGTTACTCAGCTAATACTCCCTGTATTATCTGTTAGCTTTCTGAGGAATTTGCATTCCAGAGGACAGACTTACTGTATTTGTTGGTCAGAATCCTTTCAAATCCAGATAGCCCTTTTATGCAGGCAGAGATAGTCTGCTTGTTTTATACTTTCCAAGAAGACAAATTGCTTCAGAAATTCCCAAATTCATGGATTCAGAATCATGCAGTTACCATTGATCCCAGAATAAATCTGTGGATACCGGTGTTCTGTCTTTGGTTTCTGGCCACCTGTGACTTATGACCTTGAATCCATCTGTTCAGGCTGTATGTCAGAGCTCTGCCTGTTCCCCTTACTCCTGCTGAATTCAGACGAACTGCCTCTCCCAGATTGATCCTGTGGCTGTTTTGTATGTTGTGACATGGAATAGAAAGGGAAAATACAAACATAACTGTGCACAGAATGTAAGGTGCGTGTATATGTCACCAAGTTTACATGAGTGATCTCAAAGTGAGAGCTGAAGCCCACAGCAAGAACTGCCACTGTCTGCAGATGAGCACGCCGTTCATCCCTCGTTGTGTAACTGCATCCAGCTGCCCATTCCCTCTAAAGTGACGTCTGTATCACTCCTGCTCGAAAGCATCCAGCTGCCCATTCCCTCTAAAGTGACGTCTGTATCACTCCTGCTCGAAAGCATCCAGCTGTCCATTCCCTCTAAAGTGACGTCTGTATCACTCCTGCTCAAAAGTGTCCAGCTGCCCATTCCCTCTGAAATGACGTCTGTATCACTTCTGCTCGAAAGTGTCCAGCTGCCCATTCCCTCTAAAGTGACGTCTGTATCACTTCTGCTCGAAAGTGTCCAGCTGCCCATTCCCTCTAAAGTGACGTCTGTATCACTTCTGCTCGAAAGTGTCCAGCTGCCCATTCCCTCTGAAATGACGTCTGTATCACTTCTGCTCGAAAGTGTCCAGCTGCCCATTCCCTCTGAGATGACGTCTGTATCCCTCCTGCTCGAAAGCATCCAGCTGCCCATTCCCTCTGAAGTGACGTCTGTATCACTCCTGCTCGAAAGCGTCCAGCTGCCCATTCCCTCTAAAGTGACGTCTGTATCACTCCTGCTCGAAAGTGTCCAGCTGCCCATTCCCTCTAAAGTGACGTCTGTATCACTTCTGCTCGAAAGTGTCCAGCTGCCCATTCCCTCTAAAGTGACGTCTGTATCACTCCTGCTCGAAAGCGTCCAGCTGCCCATTCCCTCTAAAGTGACGTCTGTATCCCTCCTGCTCGAAAGTGTCCAGCTGCCCATTCCCTCTAAAGTGACGTCTGTATCACTCCTGCTCGAAAGTGTCCAGCTGCCCATTCCCTCTAAAGTGACGTCTGTATCACTTCTGCTCGAAAGTGTCCAGCTGCCCATTCCCTCTGAAGTGACGTCTGTATCACTCCTGCTCGAAAGTGTCCAGCTGCCCATTCCCTCTGAAGTGACGTCTGTATCACTCCTGCTCGAAAGTGTCCAGCTGCCCATTCCCTCTGAAATGACGTCTGTATCACTCCTGCTCGAAAGTGTCCAGCTGCCCATTCCCTCTAAAGTGACGTCTGTATCACTTCTGCTCGAAAGTGTCCAGCTGCCCATTCCCTCTAAAGTGACGTCTGTATCACTTCTGCTCGAAAGTGTCCAGCTGCCCATTCCCTCTGAAGTGACGTCTGTATCACTCCTGCTCGAAAGTGTCCAGCTGCCCATTCCCTCTGAAGTGACGTCTGTATCACTTCTGCTCGAAAGTGTCCAGCTGCCCGTTCCCTCTAAAGTGACGTCTGTATCACTTCTGCTCGAAAGTGTCCAGCTGCCCGTTCCCTCTGAAATGACATCTGTATCACTTCTGCTCGAAAGTGTCCAGCTGCCCGTTCCCTCTGAAATGACGTCTGTATCACTCCTGCTCGAAAGCATCCAGCTGCCCATTCCCTCTGAAATGACATCTCCATCACTCCTGCTTGAAAGCTCTCTCTGACACCTTCAAGGAGGCACAATAAAGGTATTGCTGACTTGTTCCTTGCTGCTCTAAGAAATAGATTTTACTTGGACCCGAAGATAAGAACAACAACAGCATATAAAGACAATTTCACAATGAAAGAGAGTCTTCTAATACCCACTCAACTCTATTTGGGCTGATGCTGGGAGAAAATATAAGGGTGGCGGGGGGAGGGGAAGGCAATAAAGCTAAAGGGCCTTTGTGTGGCTCAAAAGAAATAACTACCTTCAAAACTTTACAGGTTACGTACTCTAGAATTATACAAATTCAACATTAGGCAAATTGTTTTATAAAAATATAATAAAGGTTTAGGGAAGCATAAAATTTTGCATTACTTTGAAAACAAAGTACTCTGCTGCTGCTGCTCAGACAGTTACTACAGTTCCAAACGGTCGTAGAAGACAGTGATCAACCAACATAGTCTGGTGTTTTCTTTTCCTGGTGAGTTTTCAGCTCCTCGGCACACGTTACTTCAGGTGCGTGTCTGTGTATGTTAGGTGCCAAGCCCATAATAAACAATAAATAAGCAATAGTTATTATTATGAAAGCTGCTAAAAATATTCAGATTACTTAGTTACAGTGTGGAGTCTACTTTGAAAAAACATGAAACTTTATTCTTATTCAATTTATTATGGAATGTTATCAAGACACTAGTTCTAAAAGTTCAAAGGAACGAAAGCAACACAGCCTTGTATGAAAAGTTGAACTTTAGTGTTGCAAGACATATTTAGATATCAGACATACAGATTTGTCTTAGTATATCTGAAGTTATTAACAACAATATCTTTAGATTAACTGATTGTTGCATTATTATTCCAAGCATTTCCATAGATTGACTGCAAGTAGTCTATGTGAATGGATTTTAGGGAAGTGAGAACTCTGATAGTATTTGGTAGCTTGTGTAACCTGACTGTATTTGGCATAATAAGGCTTTGAATGCCTCAATTAAAGCAACTGAAATCATAGAGGAGATCATGCTAGACGGGTCATGGTTTAAGAGCTGTACTAAGGAGTTTTCTGCCACATTTACGTGGTGAAACACACTTGGACAGCTTTAAGTTGGAGTGCCATGATGAGATTGGTGAAAATCACTCTAGCATGGTGCGAGTGGTGGATTAAAGTGGAGGAAGATTGGAGGTCTGCCAACCTAAATTAGAAATGTGTTTTTGGCTTTATTTTATTTAATCAATTTAAAGTAATGAAAATTAACAATGTTTATACAAAACCAGAAATTACTAAGCAAAAATTTCACAGACAAGCCTGGTCATTATTTCATTTTTTAAAAAAAGTTTTATCCGATAGAAAATATTGACCTAAATAATAGAAAAACCAACTCAAATGAACTTACATAATAAAGACATGTATTAGCTAAAACGTAGGTTCAGAGATAGAGTAACTCTTGTCACGGCATTGCGAGAACATTGATCACTTTTCTTTAATTCTCCTGGCTCTGTCTTTTTCCCTCTATTGATCTCATCTTCATGCTGATGGCAAGATGATCACATCCAGATACAGCAGAGGCGGGACTCTCTCTTTCAGTTCTTTTTCTTATAACTGAGAAAATCTTTTTTTCTAGCAGCCTCTGCTTTTGTCTGTCTTAAATCTTTTCTCAAGTTTCACTCGCCAGAAGTGACTTAGTAAGTTACATGTCTACCTCTCTACAAGCCACTGATCAAAGGAATGGAAATTACAAACATTGGCTTTGATGAAAAATAATGTATCCATGAGACAGGCACAGGGTGCCACTCCGTGGGCCAGGGACAGGGTGCCATTCTCTGAGGCCCGAGGAACTGAATAAATGGAACTCTACTTAGCACAAAAGAAAGGAAGAGATACTGAGTAGGAAAATAACGATGTCTGCTACCTACTGTCACAAAAAGTCAACCAATGAATAGCTAAAGAACCACTCTGGAAGGTGCCACACTTCATGTCTGCCACCTACTGTCATGAAAACTCAACCAATGAATAGCTAAAGAGCCACTCTGGAAGATGCTACACTTCACCTGGAAAAGAACCCTACCCCAGCTACTGCCTCCTGCTGGTTCCCAGACCTCTATTATTGATGGCCTGAGACCATATTTTCCATCATGTCTTTTTGTCTCCATAAATTGCATTTATAGTATTAGGAAAGAACCTTTTGCTCCTCCTCCTTTTAAAAATTTTTTATTCTTCCTTTATTTTTCTAAGACACGTATTCTTTTAAAGCAGCAGTGTTAACAGTGGATGGAAACATTTTTATTCAGTCAAAGATAGATTGTGTGTGTGTATGTGTGTGTGTGCATGTGTGTGTGTGTGTGACCCAAGCTGGAGTGCGGTGGTGCGATCTCGGCTCACTGCAACCTTCGCCTCTCGGGTTCAAGCCATTCTCCTGCCTCAGCCTCCCGAGTACCTGGGACTACAGGCACCTGCCACCACGCCGGCTAATTTTTTGTATTTTTGGTTGAGATGGGGTTTCACCATGTTAGCCAGGATGGTCTTGATCTCCTGACCTCGTGATCTACCCACCTCGGCCTCCCAAAGTGCCGGGATTATAGGTGTGAGCCACCGCGCTGGGCCCAAAGATAGACTTTTTTACAGAAATAATCGAGTGACCGAATATTTTAAGGATGATATAATGGGAACCATAATGGAAATTTATGGCAGTTTAATATTTTCTCTTATGAGACCTCAGTGGTGTGTAAATGGTGACTAGTAGAATTCTGTAGGAAACAGGAGCTGACATGTGAACAATCCAGTGTTTTTTTTTCAAATTGCTAAATAAAGATGTGTTTTTCCTCCACTTTTTCTCAATAATCATTTCTACCCTCAAACCACCACTCCCCATGGTATAAATTCAAAACATGTCCTATCAAGTGGAAAATCGTGAATGATCTTAAAGTCAAGAACATTTATTAAACTTAAAAGTAAATGTACATAGATATTAAGAACGTTGGTAATACAAATTAATATTTATAATGTTATTTTCAGCAATTGCAAAAGCTGTTCTTGAGTATGCACTAAAAGCATTGTAACATACAGATTTGATATTTCAGCTTTTACCCTAAAATTATTAAAAAAAATAAAGACAGTTTGGTCCATTAAAATGACACAATAATATCTGGATATAATTTGCATATAAGTTCAGAGGAGGCAACATTAAATTGAACAAAATCAACATCAGGAACAAAATATGATTTGGGGAATTACAGGAGAACTTAATTGAGAAGAACAACTGTGAAGTGGAAAAGAGAAATGCAGTAGAAAGAGTAAGAGATGAAGGGAGAAGGAGAGGAAGAAATACATGAAGTTTGATTCTATGTCTTAACGCGATGTTAATGGTGCCCTAGGACATAAAGCTTGATAACTCCAGGCTTCATTAAATTATCTTTTGTACATCTTGTGGGCAGAGCATAGAACATATTGTATGCCTGGGATAAATCAGAGACTCCAACATAAAAATTTGTATTAATACTAAAAACATAAGTAGAGTCCTGTGAAATTATCCATTCCAATCATATTTCTTAATATTCAACTAAAATTCCAGATTGGAAGTGAACGGCCCAGATATCCACAGTGAAAATTAGAAGGAGTGGAAAGAAGAGAAGATGCTGCCTCTTGTGTCAGTTTCCTAATTAGAATTATGGCCAAATAAAATTATACGAGGAAGCAACTGATTCCAAAGGAGGAAAACGCTAAGTTAAAATATAAGTATACAATGGGATCTCGCTATTCATTCAATGTATTATTCATTAGTTAACTCTCTCCGCTTCCTTCTTAGTTAACGTATTCCTCTATGCCTTCAATGGCCACCACCCATAGCTCCCACCACATAATGGATTGATCTACTGTGGGATCCTGCCAGCCTTCAAGAGAATTGATATTGAGCTGACAAAGGAGGGAACACTACAAATAGCTGATGAAAAGGACCAGTCTCCATGTGATACAACATCACACTCTTTAGATCTGTCTGGATCATTGAAAAAACAGATTTTCCGCTCTGATTTTTAAAATTTAATCTTTTCAAATGAATCCATATTACAAATGCTGAATACAACTGACATACATGGTTGACAATTTTTAAAACTTAAAAAATGTAAGACGCCGGGCATGGTGGCTCACACCTGTAATCCCAGCTCTTTTGGAGGCTGAGGCGAGTTGATCACCTGAGGTCAGGAGTTTGAGACCAGCCTGGCTAACATGGAGAAACCCGGTCTCTACTAAAAATACAAAATTAGCCGGGCGTGGTGGCACATGCATGTAATCCCAGCTACTCGGGAGGCTGAGGCAGGAGAATCGCCTTGAACCTGGGAGGCAGAGGTTGTGGTGAGCCGAGATTGCACCATTGCACTCCAGCCTGGGCAACAAGAGTGAAACTCTGTCTCAAAACAAAGCAAAACAAAACAAAAATTAAGAAATGTTTCAGAACAAAAAATCTGAAAGCATCTTGAAAGAGACTTTTTCCTTTGTCTGAAAGATGGCCATACCTGAAAATATTTGGTCTTCCACAGTATCGGAGGGATGCTAATTAATTACATTAATGATCACTCTGAAAAGCCGTTGCCACCTAATTTGTGAGCTCATAAAGAAATGAGGTTTTGGGATCTGACTTTTGGTCTGTTGTAGCAAAAGTGTTTTATTCTTTTACCTGAGGAAGAATACAAATGAGAAGCAAACTAAATGCTAGTTGCCTCTCAGGTAATCCCTGCCTTGAAGTCTCAGACCATGACCAAAATAAATCACCTAAAATACTCTCAACAAAATGGCAGGAGACCGCTGCCTGGAGGAAAGAGATGACCTACATGCACATCAGACAGGGCGTAGGACAAACCCAAATGCCACCTAAGTCCAAACCACTTCAGACTAATATGAGGACATTCAGTAAATATGACTTCAGTGTAAAACAAGGATTAAAATTTATTTCCTGGTAGACAGAAACCATATTTTCCAACAGGAACTGTATTTTCTCTTGCAGGCAAGACTTGCTTGGATAACTACAAAGCCCTGAACTCTCTCTCAAGCACAAAATGACTATATACCTGACAGAACATTTCCTCCAGGTGAGGAAATCTGGGCAACCTTATCAGGCAGCCCCGCTTCCATATCATTTATTGTAGTCGGGCAGATTGGGGCATACAGTACGTGACAGGCCATCAGTTAAATAGAGAGGAGTGTGCTAGCTGGGCAATACTTCAAATCCAAGTAAGCCTGAACCTTAAAAACCAAACTGCTTCATTTTTCCTGTTCTTGTTTAATCCATTTCAGGTGAAACAAAGCAACATGAACTTCTAGAATGTTCATATTGAAAAACATGAATTGGGCCAGCCGCAGTGGCTCATGCCTGTAATCCCAGCACTTTGGGAGGCTGAGGGGGGCGGATCGCGAGGTCAGGAGTTCTAGACCATCCTGGCTAACACACTGAAACCCCATCTATATTAAAAATACAAAAAATTAGCCGAGTGTGGTGGTGGGCGCCTGTAGCCCCAACTACTCAGGAGGCTGAGGCAAGAGAATGGCGTGAACTCAGGAGGCAGAGGTTGCATTGAGCCGAGATCATGCCATTGCACTCCAGCCTGGGCAACAGAGCGAGACTCCATCTCAAAAAAAAAAAAAAAGGGAAAGAAAAAACAAACAAACAAAAAAAACATGAATTGATTTCAGTTTTCAAATGTGATATGAACCACGACTTTTCTGTGTTGGAATTTCATATTCTCTAGACCAACATCATAATATTTTTCATTTGCAGAAATTTATCAGATGAGACTTGAAAGATATTTTACGTGCTCACAGCAACTCTCTTAGGAAGGACTGATGCCACTTGACAGGGCCAGGCAAACGGAGCTGGCCTCCTGGCACTGGAGATTTCAGGGAGTTTAATAAACTCAGCCAGATGTGTAGTTCAAGTATCTTAGCCAAAAGAGTGGCAGAGCAAATCAAAGGTGGACTCTTAAGCTCAGAAGTCTCTTTCTTAATAAGGGGCCGGTGGAGAGTTACCTGACATTTCCACATGGGGCTAACACATACATCAGGAGCCAGTAAGGGGCCGGTGGAGAATTACCTGACATTTCTTCATGGCTAATACATGCATCAAGAGCCAGAAGCAGGTGGGCAGAAGGTCACCTCTCAATACTTTCCATTGTGTCTCATTACAGTCCTTCTGCGTGATAAGATACTATGCTATATTTTGGGTTGAAATATTAAAAGCAAGCATTATGGCCTGAAATCTATAATAGAAAGAGCAACTAACACAGCTGGAAAGAATCCTACATGAGAGTATAAGAAGGTATAATACTAAGCTTGTTTAAATATGTCCACAGGCTTTGGGCCCCTATGGGCAAGAGGAACCCTAAGCTGCACACCAAGTACCATCCATCATGAGGAATTCAATGCTTATTGATTCCACTTCTAGAAAATTTGTAAACACATATGGCACAGATATGTGCTTCATACATCGATGCCCCAGTAGTTCAATATGATGAGTATATAGAATAATTGCTGTTAGCATTTTGAAAATAATCTTTATGCATAGAGTACATGACAATGATTTGAAAGTACTGAGGAACGTGAGCATTGATGGATTTTGGTATCCACAAGGGCTCCTGGAACCAATCTCCCATGGAGACTGAAGAACAACTGCATTTCATGGAACATTCTTTCAAATAGCGTTACTTTTGACTCATAGTTGCATGTGTTTACATTTTATTTAAATTTTGCTATATGTTTATCTTCTCACGAGCAGCATAAAAATGTTATCTTTCCTTATGTATAAATTACATAAGCTTATTTTTATACTGAAATTATTATTTTGACAGAATATTTTATAAAACAGTAGTTCAGGAAGATGATATAAGCAGAATCCCAGTGACAGCAGGAAAATCCTGACCAGAGGAATCCGAACAAAATCCAAACATATCCGGTTGGTAAGAAAATAACCTGGAGTTTCTTAAATGAAGCAAAGGAAAAGTGTGTTTATTTTAGTAATAGAAATGGCAAAACAGAAATCTTAAGGTGGTGCAAAACTGAGATATCTGTTCACAGGGGCAAAAGGATAGCTCGCAATTCACTGCCGAGACATGGAGTCCAAGGTCCTGGATATCTGTTCAGAAGGAATAGGTTAATGATATGATTTGAGTCTTTGTCCCCTCCAATCTCGATAGCTATTCGGGAGGAATGGGTTAATGATATGGTTTGACTCTTTGTCCCCTCCAATCTCAATATCTGTTCAGAAGGAATAGGTTAATGATATGGTTTGAGTATTTGTCCCCTCCAATCTCGATATCTATTCAGAAGGAAGAAGTTAATGATATGGTTTGAGTATTTGTCCTGTCCAATCTCGATATCCATTCAGAAGGAATAGGTTAATGATATGGTTTGAGTATTTGTCCCGTCCAATCTCGATATCCATTCAGAAGGAATAGGTTAATGATATGGTTTGAGTATTTGTCCGCTCCAATCTCGATATCTATTCAGAAGGAATAGGTTAATGATATGGTTTGAGTATTTGTCCCCTCCAATCTCGATATCTATTCAGAAGGAATAGGTTAATGATATGGTTTGAGTATTTGTCCCCTCCAATCTCGATATCTATTCAGAAGGAATAGGTTAATGATATGGTTTGAGTATTTGTCCACTCCAATCTGGATATCTGTTGAGAAGGAATAGGTTAATGATATGGTTTGAGTATTTGTCCCCTCTAATCTCGATATCTATTCAGAAGGAATAGGTTAATGATATGGTTTGAGTATTTGTCCCCTCCAATCTCGACATCTATTCGGGAGGAATGGGTTAATGATATGGTTTGAGTCTTTGTCCCCTCCAATCTCATGTTGAAATGTAATCTCCAGTCTTGGAGGTGGGACCTGATGGGAGGTGTTTGCACCATGGGGGTGGGACCCTCATGAATGGCTTCGTGCCATCGCCTTGGTGATGAGTGGGTTCTGCTGTGAGTTCACGTGACATCTGGTTGTTTAAACGTGTGTGGCACGTCGACCTTCTCTCTCTTGCTCTCACTCTTGCCTTGTGATATGCTGGCTCCCCATTCACCTTCTTCCCTGGGTGGAAGCTTCCTGAGGCCCTCAACTGAAGCCAAGCAGCTGCTGGTGCTATGTTTGTACAATCTGCAGAACCACATGCCAATTAAACCTCTTTTCTTTATAAATTACCCAGCCTTGGGGATTTTGTATGACAATGCGAATGGACTGACACATTTAGAAGGCAATAAATAGCAAGCAAGAAAGACAGAACTGCAGCCTCAGGGTGGTATCATGGCTACCATTAAGGAGCTGTGCTCTTAAGCTTGGAATCCATAAGTAGAAATCCAGTTATTGCTGAAACAGGAAAATTAAGAAGTTGGGTACAGAGTAGACTATAAGAGTTACAGAAAAGCTAGAATAAAAGAAAATAATTAATTAGAATAAATAGGAAACAGGGGCAAGAACTAGGCTTCTATCATACTAAGTTCAGAGTGGGACCAAATGAAATTACTTCAGTGCAAATCATTTCAATGCAAATCAAATAAACACCTGCTGTCTTCCTATATCCCTCCTGCTATAAGGCAAGGCAAACCTCAAACCGCATCTTCAGATAGTCCTGCTCACTGAAGTCAGAATGTTGGTAACATTTTACTGCTAACACAGAAAAACACAGGCATGAGAAGCCCAGTCAGGGTGATATACATATGTTGTAACTCAGAAATCAATTCTTTTTTTTTTTGTCATATGTTCATAGTTGCAGAGATACAGACTACATTTTCCAGTCTTTTGTAATGAATATGCCAATATGACTAGACTCAGGCTAATTAGATGTAAGAGGCAGTGATTTGCAAAAAGTCTCTATTTATCCCCAACTTAAGTCAAACTTTTATATCTACTGAGGTATTATAAGAGAGTTATTTCACTGAGGAGTCCAAAAGATGTTGACCTTGGAGGATTTATACATTTTTTATTGTTTCTAAAATATCTGACTGTTTTACTATAATAACCAAATAATAATAATAAAGACAGTAATAATAAATGCATATTAAGAATTCTTCTATTCTGGTTTTTCTAAAGCTTAATAATAAAATACAGAGTTAGACTGTGGTTTTGGATCACAAAACTTCACTTTCTGTTAACAGTAATATATTTTCTATTCAAAGAGCAGATATCTGCAAATCTTACTAATTCAAATTAAAGCACTTTAAAAGAATCTCACTGTTCAGATGCAGCACAGAAGGAATCTGAGCAGTCACAATACATGACAAAATAATTTTGACAAAAATTTTAAAAATTATTCATGAACAGCCCTAACAATTTTAGATATTATTGACTTCTAAAACCATGAACTCATGTTGCAAATATATTCATTAGATTTAAAAATTTTTCTCTCGTTTACTATATACTACATGCTATTCCACTACTTTATGTGGTAGGGAAAATTGTTTAACCTGCAGCTCACAGGCCACATGCGGCCCAGGACAGCTTTGAATGCAGCCCAACACAAATTCATAAACTTTTTAAAAACATTATGAGATTTTTTAATGTGCTTTTAAAGCTTATCAGCTATTGTTAGTGTATTTTTGTGTGACCCAAGGCAATTCTTCTTCTTTCAGTGTGGCCCAGGGAAGCCACAGTGTATAAAACAGACCAATATCCTTGCCTACTAGCAAGGGGAAAAAGAAAAAAAAGCGTAATAAATAAGTGAAGTATATTGCGGGTTCTAAGATGATCAATACTTCAGATAAAATAGAGCAGAGTACCAGAGGTGCGAGTAGTGGAGAGTGCACACGTGACAACTTTAAATAGGGGCATGGGTCAGGTTAGATATCACTGTGAAGGTGAAATTTCAGCAAAGGCTAAAAGAGTGCAAACAAGTTCGGCAGGGGGATAGCTGGGGAAGAGCATTTTAGGAAGAGGAAGTAGCCGTTAGGAAGAGGAAATAGCCGTTAGGAAGAGGAAATAGCCATTAGGAAGAGGAAATAGCCATACAAAACTCTAAGGGAGGAGCATGCATGGTGGGTTCCAGGACAGCAAATGACTCAGCAGTCTTGAGTGTGCTGAAAAGAGCTAGAGCCAGGGACAAAGGAATGACAGGGATGTGGGGTCACGGGCGGGGAGAGGAGGAGGTCCCAGAGGCCCTGGCCAGCCCCTTTTGGGAACAGCTTTTGCACTGTGTGAAATGGGAAGTTACTACAGTTTTTGAGCAGAAATATTAACACATCAGATTAATACTTTAAAAGGACTGATTTTTTTAAGAGACTGAGTTATTCTGTTAAGCAGCTCAATGAAAATTATAAATGATGCTTTGGAAGGAATAAGTGGCCACTAGAACAATAACATTTAAAGAAGCAAAAACATGATAGCTTAAAAGTGAGAGACAAGAGAGAATATTACATAAAAAGGTATAAACAAACAACACTAATGAAACTACCTTTGCAAAAATTATAACTGAGCCAATTATGACAGAGAAAGAGATCTGAGCTAACTGAGTCCATCTTGCTTCTGTCCTACAAGCTGTCCTCGTTCATTCCAGAGTGTAGGCTGAACTAACTTTGGGAAGAACTTAATTTATGGCTTAGCTTCTAAACAAAGATGATAACAGCGCTTTCCCAAAACAAACCCTCCTCCTGCCTGGGGACTAGACTGCCTTTGCGAGACTAACAAATTAGTCATAAGATTAGAAATTATGGTCATGCACTGGAGGTTGCAAGATTCTAAACCTCCCCAAATTGCTCCTGGGGATAACATCATTATTGTAAAACCTAAGATCAGTGCTTGAGATATTTTGCAGACCCTGCACTGGATGGATCAGCTGGCACCACCCAGATCATAAACTGACTGGTCTGCTCTGTGCCCCGCCCCCCATGCCAGTAGCTGAGTCAGCCAAGAGAACAGCTTTGACTTCCTATGATTTCATCTCTGTCCCACCAGAATTCCTGATCCACAGGCCCCTTAACCAGCAAATTATCCTTAAAAACTCCAGTCCCTAATTATTTGGGAGACTGATTTGAGTAATAATAAAGCTCCAGTCTCCTGCACAGCCTACTCTGCATGAATAACTCTTTCTCTATAGCAGTCAACCTATCTTGATAAATTGGCTTTGTCCAGGCAATGGGTAAAGTGAACCAGTTGGGTGGTTACACAGATACCCAGGAAAATAGTTTTAAATTATTCAACAGCTACCAAAATAGAACAAAAAAATTTAGTTTTATACTGTAGGGTAAAATAATTTTATATACTTACCTGATCCCAAAGCATGGCTATATTTTAGTAGATTACATTAATTAAGACATGATAAATGACCGGGAGGTATCACAACATTTTATAGTTATCAGATCCCCTTTTTGAGAAAGAGAAGGAATGAACTGTGAGGCATTTTTAAAGTTTTTTTCACAAACTTATTAAAAGAGACAGTCTTTTAACACCTAAATGGGTAAGTTTTTGTTTTCTTAAAATTTTATTTTGTGGAAAAATAAAACCTCTGGCAGCAAAAAATAAATAAACTGTTACCATATCACTAGATGTTGGGTGGGTCTGCTCCACAGGAAGCTTGAAGAGGAAGAATAAAAACGGTGTAGAGGCTAGGCACAGTGGCTCACACCTGTAATCGCAGCACTCCAGCAGGCCAAGGTGGGCGGATCACTTGCGTATCGAAGTTCGAAACCAGCCTGGGCAACATGGTGGGACCCCATCTCTGTAAAAAACACAAAAATTAGCCTGTGGTGGAGCGTGCCTGTAATCCCAGCTCCTTGGGAGGCTGAGGCAGGAGAATTGCTTGAGCCCGGGGGGTAGAGGTTGTAGTGAGTAGAGATAGTGTTACTGCCCTCCAGCCTGGGTGACAGAGGGAGACTTTGTCTTAAAACAAAAACAAGAATGTAGATTGGCTTATTTCTATTTCCATCCAAAAAAATGATTAGGTGGAAAGGGCTCTCTCCATATTCAAAGTATAGAGAGAGAAACGAGTAAGACAGAATGAATATTCCTGAATATGTTCGAAGAGAATTCCATCCCGTTTCAAGCATCCTCTGTCCTCTGAAGTGCAAATGTGGAGGATGTACAAAATCTATCAACAATTTCGTATTTTTTCAAAGTCCAAATTACTATTCTTAAGAATCTTGTGTCCTTAAATATTTTGTTTGGAAGTAGGTCCCACCTAGCACAAGCAATGACAATGTCTCTTTTAACCTGGAGTCAAACTTCAGTAAATGCCAGCGAGGCTCTTAGAAGAAGCAATTCCATTTTGTGCACCTCTTTGTGTATTTTCCTTTAAATGCAGGGATTGCTTTGGAGGCTTGGCCACAAGCCACATTTGAAACGCTTGTGTTCAATCATTTTAGCTATTGGTTCACCCACTTTTTTTCATAATTCAAAATAACTGAAAGGATTATTTTTCTTAGACCTTGTCAAAAGAAATATACCTTATCACTTAGATGAAGTATGGAAAAGTTGAATTTTAAAGCCAAAAGGGTTATAAATGTCAAAAGCCCTGAAAACATAGGAATATAAAGACAGCTTGAATCCACACTTTTCATTGCGTTTCCACTGTAAACGCTCCTTTCAACAGTCCATTTGTATTTCCTGGTCTTATTGTTATGTCCAAGCCTGTGCTGTTTGGACACATATTAAGAAGTCAATCCATATTTTTTTCTGAAAAAAAAATGTAGCATAAACTAAAGGAAAGTAGCAAAATAGTCTAAGGCAAGGGTAGAGTTTTAAAAAATCAGTCATCTTTTTTCCCTATGAGTGGACTGTCTATTCATGAAATAATTTACTCTTATTTCATATACACAAATTCTAATGGTATGGTGAAAATTGCTCTTGGAGACCATTCTCACTTCACTTGAAGGGCACTCATTGATATGTGGTAATAAGACAGCAAAGATAAACGACCAAGTTTTAGCTATATCATTTGCAATTAAAGATTTACTCCCCTATCCAAATCGGTCGTAATGTACCATTGACAGACAGAAAGGACTCATCTCAATATGTCTCAATACCTCTCTCTCTCCGCAGATTCAGTCCCCAAAAATGTGTGGCCTCTTAATAAACGTAGATTCTGTCCTGCATAACAGCATCTGCAGTACATCTGCTATGACTCTGAGGCAGTGACACTTGTGTTGCAGGTAATTTTAGCTTCTCTCATAGCAAATATAACATCAATTTTGCATTTTCCAAGGAAGACTGGAGTCCCAGTAGGTCCAATTAGGTGCACTCCCTTGTAGGAAAGTTTGCTATGTTCTCTCAATGCCTGCTCCTTCCCCACTATAAGGTAATTTCAAGGGATACTGTGAGATGAACCATCCCATGGTAAAGGATGGGCTGGCCTTATGGATAGGCAAGTAGAAACGAAAATTATGTAGAGAAAGGAAAAAGAAGACCACCTAGTGCTTAAAGGTCACACCATGATCATATCATGCTATTTAAAACTCAAAATTTAATTCAGATGTCTTAAAGCTTCTACCTCAAAAGGGCCTATAAAAATCAGATACCTCTGAGAGTGTTAGGAAAGTAAAGTTGGAATAAATTTATCTCAAATGATTCCTAGAAGAGTCTGCTGGAATAGAACAGACTGATTTACATCTTGATAGGGCTGGGGAAAGTTACCTGTGATACTGCTATCTACCCACATGGGACCTTCAGGAGAAAGTGATGCTGGAAAGGACAGTGCAGAAGGAACAAAGGCAAACTTCATCCACATCAGCATTTGCCTGAGTCCAAATGCTGGGTCAACAAAAGCAAGTCTGGTTCAATTCCAGCTATGAAGGGGACATTAACACCATGCTGTGGGTCAAGAAAAAGACAGATTGTCTGCTACTAATAAATTCTCAAAACGCCATTTCCTGAGCCAAAACATTGCCAAAAATTATATGTTCATTTACTCATGTATTCAAATGTTAATATGCAGACCACGTCTGAAATTGTGGACAGCTCTTGAAAGGATAGACAGATGCACAGGACACAGCCTTTTTGCTCAAGGAACTCTCATTCCAGTAGGAGAGATAAAGAAAAAAATTCGTGAGTAGAAGTAGAAGGGAATTGAAAGAGGCATAAAATGCTACGATAGGGCCTAATATGGAGAGAGAATTTTTTACTAGAAGACTGAAACATTCTCATTGGAGAAGGTGGCCTTTGAATTGGGCTGTGAAGGCAGACACTTTTCAGGAGCATGCTGGAGACAGCAATGCTCACTGCATATTGAATGAATAAATACATGAGTGACGTCTAGTAGAAAGCTGATTGCACTAGCGTCAGTGAGGTGGAGCCCACTTCCAGATCTGCTACTTTCTCTTGGTCAAACCTTCTAAACTTTTGGACCTTTAGTTTCATCATTAGTAAGATATGAAGGTGAGACTAGTTGTCTTTAATTCTTTCTACCACGATAATTTTATGAAGGCATGGAGTCCGACTGACTTCTGTGGAACTCTGCAGTGGTTACTGGGGTTGCCTTACCAACCAGCATTCTCCTCTACTATTCTCCACTCCATAATGTAGTAACTAGAAAGTTTGGGTGGGATTTGCTTCATCCTCAGATCCAAGGGTATTCCCTGCTTTCTGATTACACTTTTTTGTCATTAGGATTGTTTCATCATTGTTCCATCTACCTCAGTCCTAAACCAATACCAGGCATTGCTATGGCCATAGATTAATTCAATCTGGACCTCTCCAGAGGGTCCAGTGAGAGCAAAACCAGGACATCTGTTCAACAGTGGAGGACAGTGCTCATGTTTCTCGTACTGGGTATGGAAAAGAAGCTGACAGCAATCATATGACCACAAGGAAAGCATTTTGAAGCTAAAGAGGCCAGGCAATCGATGGAGACACAAAGAAATCCCCCAAAACATGGGAACAGAGATCCGCTCGCACTTTGACTAAAGACCAGTCTATCCTTGGACTTTCTCGTTTGTAAGCCAATAAACTCCATTCACTGTTTAAGACCTGTGAGTCTGATTTTCCCTATCTAACAACCACTTTTCTAAACCACTAAGCCACTTTTAAACTTTTTCCAAAACAAAAAAAAAGTTTTTTTCTCAATCACTTTACTTAACAAACCAAGTACCAATCAGTACTAAACTATAAACTCAAAATATCTATCCTCTCAATTTTGAAAGTGTGTAAAAACTTATCTGACAAAATTTCTAAGAAAAAGATGATGACTTCCCCACTCTGAAGTAGAAAACACAACTTTATAAAGAGCTTTAAGAAGAGAAAATATATTGAAGAATGAAAAGTAAAACACCTTTTTTTCTGGAGGCTTCCCATTATTCTGGTTCAATTTTAGGATATTTTTGTTGTCAGCCTTGCTCCCATCTCTTTGAAACTTAAGTTCCAACTCTTCTGTCAGAGAGTGCAAATGTTTTCAGTGGTCAAAAAGAGAATAATCTCTGCAGGCATCTCTCCCACACCCTTATTTACACATGAGGCACCTGCAGCTCAAACTGGTCAACAGTCTTGCTTGGGATGGTGAGTGTGAGAGTGGGGTCAGGGTCTTGGGTGGACACCCTTCCAGTTCAGATCCTTGCTTCATGACAGCCGCGGAGTGCTCTGACACAGCTACAGTATCTGTTAGCCGTCAACACTGCCATCCAGGTATACACTCACCTGTGCCAACCACTTCTTTTATTTTTTTTTTCCTGTTCCATGGAGTCAGTTTTCCAACTCCCATTTTGCAGGTTAAAAAGAAGCACTGAGAAACAAAGAACCCAAATTATTCTAACCAGCTTAATCCTCCACCCCTGGCTGATGCAGGACTACAGAGCTCCAGCCTACTGGCCAGGGGACTAATTCTCCCATCCATCCCATTAGCCCCACTCAGTGATAGCACACCTTAGACAAATGTTTTCCTGAAGTCTCTTGATAAACAAATCTGCTTTTGCTCTTAAAATAATAAAAGTATAGAATTTTGGACTTCAAAAGAGTCTTAACAATCATTTAATTGAGAACTTTTCCCAGTGAATTATAATGCCACCCTCCACCTGCTAGCCCTGTTCTCCGTTGAAGGGGACGGTGATGTCCATTCTATATAACAAATGTCTTGTCATTTTTGTGGGGCTAGGAACAGTGTCATTAAACTGGGCAATAAAGACATGCTAATTGTGGGCAATCATTCTTTTTGAATTTTTTCACTACAATATTTGTCTGTCTAGAAACAGAGATAAATCTTTCTTTTTCTTTCTTTCTGGGTTTCTTTTCTTTTTTTGATGGAGTTTCTTTCATGTTGCCCAGGCTGGAGTGCAGTGGTGCGATCTCAGCTCACTGCAAACTCCGCCTCCTGGATTCAAGTGATTCTCCTGCCTCAGCCTCCCAGGTAGCTGAGATTACAGGCGCCCGGCACTACGCCCCGGCTAATTTTTGTATTTTAGTAGAGATAGGGTTTCACCACGTGGGTCAGGCTGGTCTCCAACTCCTGTCCTCAGGTGATCCACCCGCCTTGGCCTCCCAAAGTGCTGGGATTACAGGCATGAGCCACCAAGCCTGGATGAGAAATCTTTAAAGAGTAACATCCCGCTTGAAAGCTACACTACTATAACATTTACTGACTACACATAAAAACCTATTTGAATGACACAAGAGAAACTGTTGTCTATAACTGCACGCTGACATATGGTTACATACGCAATATTACTTATTTTGTCCAGTGCTAATTTTTAATGACAATGGAGTTTCTATAAAGTGTGCCAGGAGGAAGTTTCTTTGGTGTATATTAGTCTGTTATATTTATGCTTAGTTTGGCTGGTGAGTTTTCATTACACCCTACATCCCAGTACATGAAAAATGGAAGTTGTGTAGTTTGAGCTTTCAGCTGACCAGTCATTTTCCTGTAACCTGAAGTAAGTACTAGTTATTGTAAGCTCTGAGATGGAAATAGTCGGCTGTGCACAACTCACATGATATTATGAGATATCTGTAGAGTTTTGAGAAGTAAGTTACACATTTGATGGGCCTATCGTAACCATGTTGGCACCTACGATGAGAGAAAAGAGACTTTTTGTTTGTTTAGTTATCTATTCCAACTGTGATTATTTATGGATAGTGGCTAATTGTTTTAGAACGTATTGAAGAGCATACTTACCTATTAGAAATAAGTTGAAACAGACTTGGTTGCTCCAATTTACTATAAACTAGGAGGTAGAATGATGTATTGGAAAGAGAATGGTCTTTAGCCATAGGAAGACTTGGGTTCAAATCTTAAGTTATAATGTTTATTTTACTGATGTTCTGGGCAAGTCACTGAACTATTCTGGCCCTGTGTTTCCTCTCCCAAGGAATAGGAATAATAGCATCTGCTCCTAAAAATGTTATTTTGGGAATTAGAATTAATATATGTTAGTTAAAGTAAGGAGAGTTAACAAATCTTTAAGTATTAGATGCTTGGGAGTGATAAATAACACTTATTCCATTCACAAAGAGAGTTTAATGAACCACTGCAACTCAAACTACTCAAATCTTTAAAAGTCCTGTTTTTATCAGCACTTATAGAAACAGATTCACTTTCACTTTTGCCATAAGGTTAATTATGAAAAATATATCTGCGTATGTCACCTGCCTCAGTAATTAAATAGAACTAACAGAAAAAAATCAAATTATTTAGTGGCAAAAATAAGTCAGCACTTAGCATTTATTCAACGTCATATGCTACCATTGCCACAGTTATGTGGTCTCTATGGCATTTCACTTTCCCAGTGAAGAAGCTTCTGTGAACAAACACAATCGTTAAAAACAGATTGAGCGTGAAATGAAGATGAGAACTTACATTCATTGGTAAAAACAATATCATGTGACTAAACTATAAAGGTAAACAAGTCAGTTAAACTGAGAACGCCAGGGCCTTTGGTCCCTTTATCATTTGTATTTTAAGTAACATTTTACAAAGTGTTAATGGTGTGTTATAGTTTACCACCTGCCACTTGAAGAACTGTGGTGTTGGGGTTAGTATCGTGTTTGATCCAGCTTTGTAGGGATGTTTCCTACTTTCGAAATGTCATGATATGCTTAAAACTATGTGCAAAAAAAGAGAATGAATTGGTTTTCGTTTCCCTCCTTTGTATTTGTTGTTAATCCGCTTCTCAATGTCCTGTCTGTGTGTTTCTGCTTTCATCCTTCTTTCTTACCACGCAACTATATCATTAGCCACAAGGCAGAACATGTCTTCTAAGCAAATGTAGCATTAAAAAGTCTCCTGGGAGAATTTTAGCAACTGTCGAGCTAAGGTCATGCCACAGTGAGAAACAAAGCAATGCGTAATAAGGACAGTCACTTAAACACGAGAAAGTTATTAATAAATCAGGAGAAATCAAGTGTGCATGAAAAGGCTGGGTATCATGTGT
Organism: Homo sapiens; assembly: GCF_000001405.40. NCBI lineage: Eukaryota > Metazoa > Chordata > Mammalia > Primates > Hominidae > Homo > Homo sapiens. The sequence continues at coordinate 38,528 of NW_025791773.1, forward strand.
TCTGTGTTTTCAGATACAAGATTTATTACCTGTGTAATTGCTGTACCATGTAGGATATGCATTTGAACAAATGTTGTAAATTATTACAACGTACGCTACAGTGAAACCTCTTTATAATATTTCCACACATACTGGTTTCCCATCTGGGGAGTCCTGAATTACACATCCCTCTTACAGAGAAGTGATCCTCTAGGAGCGAGGCTCAAGATCATAACAATTCTCCCCATTTATTCCTCGACATTGTATTAGTGGTACCTGAGAGGTGGCTCATGGATGTTAAGAATACAAATATGAGCAAGAGGACCTCAAGATGCAAACAATCCAATTGAGAAAGGAGATTATAAACAGCAAACTGCTACTAAGGCTACTGCTGTTGCAGCAGTTGCTGCTGCTACTAATAATAAAAAAATAGAACGCCTGTGCCTTGTTCCGAAGAGCTGCCTTGCAAATGCACCTAAAAGGGGGAGAGAACCTTTTCTTTTAGCAAAATATAAGCATAAGCAAGTTAGTAATTACATACACTTCTGTTCCATTGTCTGTAAAGACACAAATAATTGCTGCCTCATGGAATGATTTTCAGGGTTAAGATACATATGGGAAGTGTTTAGCATTAAGCCACGAGCAACTAAGAGCTCAATGGATGGGAGCTATCTATTTATTGCTCTTTACTATTCATGTTAGTTGTATTATTGGAGGCATAATGACACAGTGAAAGAGGCTCTGCATCCAAGTAGGTCACAGCATCATTGGGGGCTTACAATATGCAAAGACGTTAAAACCGTAATCAACCAGGCATTATACGTGATAATTACAAATGAGTGTTAGGCAATACGTGCTGAAGGTGTTATTTTCATATACCCATTTATCTCCAAAAAAATAGAGTTGGCGTAACATTCTTGTTCATAAAAAGATCATAGAAACAGAACAAAAACGTTATATCCCGTTTCTGCTTTCAACATGGGTATTAGACTCATTTCTCCAAACAACTACGTGTCCAATATAGAGATATCTAAATATAAATAACAATTTTCAAAAGCCATAATCAATCCAATCCATCTAATCTAAAAGCCGACACCTAATCAGAGACACACAAGGACCAAAGTACCTGAATAATATATCAGAAATATTGATAAGCTTATCACATGTGCTTTTCTTTACAGCTTTTAAAATACAGAGTTATTGAGTTTGGGTGACTGTCCATTGTCTTTGTTGACACAAATAATTAAAACCTGCCATGACCATAACTTTCATACCTAACTTCAGGACAAAAATAACAATGGCCCTGACAGGACCTCTTTGGCCTAGACTGACAGCTGCTGTGACCGACACGCTTGTTCTGGGCTAATGGACATTGATGGACTTCCTGTGTGTCAGCTGAATCGGAGGTGATTTTCAACTGCTGAACAGGAGATGACCTGCTGGCTCATTGAATATGTGGGATACTTGGGAATGGGCTGATGAGAAAACTCATCTTCTGTACAGGTCCTTGTTGGGTCGAGACAGAAAGCGAAGGCTTTGTGCCTGTTACTCACTTGAGCTCATTTTGACCCAAACAAGTATCCAGAGGAATTAACTAGTGACCCAGGTGCAGGGTCGCACCTGTCCTCATGAGTGCCAATCAAACATTTTGGCTGGAAATTCCCCTCAAATGATGGAGGATACTGGCTTCAATCCTTTAAATGGGGCATATTTCCTTAGTTATTATACATGTCATAGGGGACAGAAAATTAAATATTATGACTAGAATGATTAATAATGATAGCATAAAACTTTAATTTTGTTTCCGTTCTCATTTTCGTGATATAATTACATGTCCCACTTAAAAATACAAAGGTTTGAAAGAAATCTCGCACACCACTGAGGCAGTTTACTAATACTCCAGGTGATAACAATACTGACAAAGTACCCTCATGCCTGCCTCCTTTTGACTGATTATTTTATTTATTTGTGTTTGTTTTGGTAAAGGGAGTAGGAGGAGAGTTGCTGGAAAGGCCTTATTGATGGGAATAGAAGAGGGAGAAGTATATAAATTTGAGAATGTGCAAAAGTAAACTAGGCATTCATTGTGAGGAAAAATGCTTAATGCAGTATCTGGAGCATCATTTTCCCACTGGAGTAAAGCTACCCAGTAATTATGTATTGCACCAAACAGCTGTAAAATCAGTAGAGCGGAATCTTTCTAAGTCCCATCTCTTTTAAAATGATGTTATAGCTATATTTTCATAAGAAAACAATGAGCCAAAGTATTACTATTAAGGAACTTGAACTCTTAATATAACAAATAAGGCCTCGGTTTTCACGTAATCAGAAAGAATGCAAATAATTATATCAACTTTGAAGATGTGCCAAAGATATAAAAATGGCTGAGAGATTTCTGCTGCTTTCCTGGAGACATAGTAGGGACAGAGTGATCTGCCACAATTTGGGGATAAGATTGGTAAAGTACTAACCTAAGCAAAAATATGAATGTTGAGAAATGTGCTGCCAGCGAGTTTTCTCAAGTCTCCATCAAGAGTGCAGAGCCAGGAAAAACGGATCACAATGCAATGATGTCAGCGTGATATAATGCTGGTGTCTCTCAACAGGTATTTCCATATTTCCATATGGAGTCTTAGAAATTAGAATACCAGCACTAGAGTCTATTTTTTTTTTTTTTTTTGAAATGGAGTCTCATTCTGTTGCCCAGGCTGGAGTGCAGTGGCATGATCACGGCTCACTATAGATTCTGCCTCCTGGGTTCAAGCGATTCTTGTGCCTCAGCTTCCTGAGTCACTGGGACTACAGGCGCGTGCCACTACACTGGGCCAAGTTTTGTATTTTTAGTAGAGACGGGGTTTCACTATGTTGGCCACGCCCATCTCAAGCTCCTGGCCTAAAGCAATCCACCCACCTCAGCCTCCCAAACTGCTGAGATTACAGGTTTGAGCCACTGCACCTGGCCTGGAGCCTCTCGTTGCATCTCTAACACTGTGCAGTGTGGAAGAGGTCCTATCTGCTGGGATGCACTATCAGGTTCCATTGTTTATCACTGATAAGGGGCATCAGGATCCTGTGATAGTATAATAGCATCCAAATTATCATTTATATCTCGAAATATTTTCACTTTTCATTTAGGTTACCAACATAGGTCAGGGTTTTCTGCTGAAGAGATGAAAAATCTTGCCTACGTTGCAGCATTACTTTAATTTTTAAGAAATGGACCATTCTAAATAGAACGTTAATGTTTTGTGAGATTGAATGTTGTGAATCCGTCCTGTAACCTGACATACAAAACCTGGGACCAGACGATGGATCTCAGTTGCCCATGCAGGTACCATGACCTGAATAAATGCTGCTGTTGTAGAGGTATCTGGTCTATTTTTGACAAGCTCTTAACTATAATCCATAGTAGAAAATTAAAGTGATTCATTTTGATATTATCCATATAAGCAAGCTGAACTGAAGAATTAAGTCAAAAGAAAATTATTTTAAAAATAATAAGCATATGTCAGTAATTTATTTTATTTTTTTGAGACAGGCTCCCTTGCTCTGTCACCCAGGTTGGACTGCGGTGGTGCAGTTATAGCTCACTGCAGCCTTGAACACCTGTGTCAGTTATTTATTGTTCTTGTTACAAGGTCCTCCAAAATCGTGGCATAAAACAGCAATCATTGGTTCTTTTGCATAATTTTACGCACTGGCAATCCAGGCAGTCCTGCTGGTCTAACTTGGGTTCACACATGCAGCTGCAGTGACCTGATGGCTTGCAGTAAGTAGAGCGTCCGGGCTGGCTTCACTCGCTCCTCTGGCAGTCTGTGCTGTCTGTTGTTTGAGGCACCTGACTCTTCTCCACATGGCCCTTCCACCACATGCTACTGGTCTCAGCATATCAAAAGGTCTGCCTGGTTTCAAGGAGCTGAAGAACACACCTCACCTGCTGGTTATAGGAACAGCAATGTCACAACAGCAACGTCACACTGCAAAGGGGCAGGCGTGCGACGGTGCTCTCTTCATTGGAGGCACGGTTCATTCCTGTCCTTCCCCACACCATCGGTCCCAGCGTTCCCACTGTACCTTTCACGCCTGCCCAGCGTCTCACTCGGTACATCGCTGAGGTTGCCTGTCCTTGGCAGCGAATGGGAAAGCAGAAGCAGGAGTTGTGGCAGCCACTGAAGAGTGATGTTTTTGTTGTTGTTTTAACTCCACATCTCTCTCCCTTTTTTTTTTAAGTTCATAGATCCATATTGATCCTCACCTAGAACAAAATCAGCCAAATGTATCAAAGATTTTAAAGAAAGATAAGCTGTAAAAAATGTTTCATAAAGTAAGGCAGGCGAGAAAATAAATGCTTATTTTAAAACTAAAATAAGAAAGTTGTACTTAAATACACTCACATCCAAGGTGGATTCACAACTTAGTGTTTGTTCAAACCTTAGGGTGCCCAGAGGTGTCGCGGCTGACTTGCTCATGCTGTTATTGCCTCTGGTAGCAAAGATATTTCCCAACTCCAAATTAAAACTAGTTTGCATTAGGAAAAAATCAAAATAAGTTTGTTTCTCATGATATGATGGAACAAAGCATTTTTAAAAAATCATTTTAAATGTGGGGAAAATAGATTTTTTTTGTTTAAATTGGAAGGAAAATAGGAAACAAAGAGAAGCATAAATAAGATTTCCAAAGACAAAGAAATACTAGGTACAAGGGAGCCTCTTAACAGTAGCTGGAAGGAAAACTAATGACATCCGAGGTTCTCAGGCCTCTGAGCAGCCTCTGCTGTTCTGATCTTAAACGTCAAACAAGCGGGATGTTGGGCCACTGGGACACGGATGCTCAGGAGCCTGCACTGGCTTCCTTTAAACCAATAAATCAAAATCCTCCTTGCGGAAGACGCGGGTTTCCACAGGCAGCTCCCCGTGGAGGGCTCCCAGCTGATCTGTCACGGTGCGGGATGAGGAGCCCGCAGCCCCTTCCAGTGCCCACCTCCACTCTGCACACCCGTCCCCTGCCCGTCTCCACACGCCCACACACCCCTCTCCCTGGATCGTGCCCACCTCATTCTCCAGTTACTCAGCTCCTACCATCCTTCAAGGTCCACCCGCTCCTGACATCCTCTGTTAACCTCTATCCAGTTATTCCAGGCTCCACCGGCATTTCCTTCCCTTCCTTGCCTAGGACATTTTCAGTGTGCACTATTCTTTTGGACTATGTGTACTATAATTTGAAAAGCTGCAACACCTGCCAGACCAGGGGCTTTTTATGTCCAGAGCAATAGATGGCGTCTATGGTGTTTTCCCATCTCCTGCTCTTTCTCTCCAATGGTGTCTCTGTCTCTTTGAGCAGTGATGGTCGCCCCATTGCGTATAGAGGAAATGGAGGAAAACTTGGAAGTACCGCCTTCCATACAAAGTCAAGGATCGAGACCTTCCTCTCCGCGTTCCAGAATCCCTCAGGAAATACGCGCGTGCCTTCGCATCTAGAGCAAGCGCTGCAAGAATTCACAGAACGGCCAGAAGTTCCCCATCCCGCTGGTGGCACTCACTGCGTTAGGCGCTCAGCCTCCAGTCCGGGCCGCTTTGGCTTGAAGACGGCCGTTTTCCTTCCTGATACCTGCTTCTAGTCTTTCTGCAACTTCTGGATTCCTGTCATTCTTATACCTGCTCTGGGCAGCCTTCCATTCATTCTGCGAATTCCGTGAAGCTTTTCAATAAATTGCTTTTCTCCAATTAGCCTAAATCTCTTTCAGTTATTGGCAGCCCAGTGCCCTGACCCAGCCAAGCACTGTAGACAGTCTACACGTGGCAGCATAACCTAAGACTGTAGGCAGTCTACGCGGGGCAGCATAGCCTAAGACTGTAGGCAGTCTACGCGGGGCAGCATAGCCTAAGACTGTAGGCAGTCTACGCGGGGCAGCATAGCCTAAGACTGTAGACACAGACCAGAGAAAAGCTACTTTTTCATTTCTTATAACTGCTTCGTGGCTATGTTTTTCAGATGCCAGAAATCACTCGGTAAATTCAGAGCAACCTTAGTCACATGAGGGTTTCTTCTGCTGGTATCTGAGACGTACAAGGCACATCTGGTCAGAGGAGGCTTCTGTCTCTCCACAGTTATCCTACCTGTGCCAGCATCTACTGGGACGTCTGATCTTCCAAGTCTGTGGTCCTCGTCATGGGTTTAATTGTGCTCTCTCAAAATTCATATGTTGAAGTCCTGACTCCTAGTGACTCAGAATATGACTGTACTTAGAGATGGGGTCTTTAAAGAGGTGATTACATTAAAACTGAGGCCTTTCGGGTAGGCCCTGATTCAATATGAACAGGGCGTATTGGGACATACAGAGAAAGATACGCAAGGGGAGGGCGCAGCACCTGCACATCAAGGAGCGAGGCCTTGGGAGAAACCAAACCTGCCAACATCGTCTTGGACTTCTAGATTCAAAACTGAGAAAATAAATACCTGTTGCTTAAGCCATTCAGTCTATAGTATTTTGTTATGGCAGACCTAGCAAATACGTGTAGCCATTGTCTGGTTAACCACTGCTATGTTTACCTCACACTATTCAAAAGCTCTCCAGGTTTAAATCTGATCTCCTTCACGTACTTCCTTGAGACTCTTGGGCAATTCTAACTTCCCCTAACACCCATGGTCTTAAACACAACCTTAGTCTGTTTCCTGAAAAATTATACTGTCATTTGCTTGGTTCCTGCAAGGATGTATGCTGGGTCCTCAAGGTAGAAAGTGTGTATTTTCTAAATAAATACTTAGTTAGGTTCACATTCGTATTGATGACTGATATAAACTTTCCTAAATTTGGGGTCCAATTGACTGTGAAGACTCCCCGCTTTGTTCCAGGGCTCCTGTGCCCAGCTAAGCCTCTTCTTATGGATAAATGAGGGGTACTGGTTGCAGGGCTCACCCTGCAGGAACAGCTGTTAGATGTAGAAACATTCAGACCACACATTTCACCAGTTTGATTTACAAAAAATAAAATATATATAACTAAAGTATATATATAATAATCTGTATGTAAAATATTTTAATATTTTGAAGCTTTTGACATTCTTGAAGCTTTTATATTACTAGGTTGGGGGAATTGAGTGCAGTATAGTGCACTGGTCTGAGTGCTCATGAACAAATACCTCTTTAATAATTGGTGCAGAGCATAGTTCACATTAATTCGTGATTTGCTGAAGGTAATAATTTGTTAAGTTTGGTTTCACTCTGTTTTAGAAATAAATGAGGAGTTTTCATAAAATGGGAAAAAGAGAAAACTGATTTTCCAGCTGAGAAATGAGCAAAATATTGCTGGACAGCCAACATCTGGTATCACTTAAGTCTGGTCTGGACAGGGAAAAAAAAAAAAAGATTATACCAGGGGGAGCAACCCTGTGTTTGCAAGGAAAAGAAGGAGATGACACGGTAGGCCTTTTCAGTGATTAAAAACCTTCCATTTTCACATAGCCTCAGTACAAATAGAGCATTAGTCTTCACTCAGCTTTTGCATTTCATTGTCTAGTGTACAAACTCTAGAGACAAAAACGCTAGAATTCTGTTTTCCCAGAGAACGATGCTAAGTAAAGATACCTCAGTCATTCCAACCCTTTAGCAAGCAACCTCATAGGCTGCCTTAGGTGAATGTGCATTAAATTCAAAGGGAGGGGGATTGAGTGATTGTCCTTTTCAGGAAAGAAAGAAAGAAAGTGTGTCCTTTCAAGGTCAATGTATATGATTACCAGGAAATTTGGTAAATTAAATCCACTGGCGTTTGGAGTGCAGATGTAGGAAATCACTCCTTATAAATCAATGGTGAACAGACCATTGCTCATTCACCTTTTCCTCATTGTAGAAAGGGCCAGAACTCAGTGTATTTGCAATGTAGCCACATAACTGCTATTTACAGAAATGTACATTCCATACACACCCACTGCAAGTAGTCACCTCACATGAGTCACATGGGCCAATGCAAATGGAATAAAGCATCAAGAACCTTGGCCTAGCAGCATAGGGTACTTCACTTGCCCTGCAGAGTTTAACTGAGGCTCATGCATAGGCATTTCACTGCAGCTAGTCTACTTAATGGCCCCTTCGTACAATTATGATACTGTTCTTGGTTCTATATGTCTGTACTAAAAAGCTATGACTTATAAACTTTATAACATAGCTGCAATATTGATACTAAAATGTAAATGAATGCACTAAGGCTGGAAGCTTACTGGCTGTAGAGATGAGTCTATCTCTTAGGAAAAGATAGACGATGATAGTCAAAATGTCAAATAGATGTGACAAAAATGAAATCACTACCTTTATCTAGGAAATATATTTCCTAGGACTAATGCCCCAAATAATCTAGGATCTGTATTCCTAAGTGATCGCAAATATCATGTGGCTAGAGTATAGCAGGCAATTCTGGGCATGGAGATGCACACTTTAAGACACTGGAAGTTTTAGAAATAAAGAAGCAGGTAAGAATTCAGCTAGTGTTCTTTAGTACTGATATGTATTGAAAGCAGTATGTATACTTCTGCTTAAATATATATATGTATATATATATACACACACACACATATATTTATTTCACAGTGACAACTATTAGAGTATGTTTACATGGTTTCCTAGATAATAATGGCCTGGATACTCACAACTTGTTTGCTTCCTGTTGGAGAATAGAATTTTATCTAATTAGTGATTGTGTTTGTATATGGCACCCTAAACAAAAATACCTTCTTTTCTGCTCCATGGACTGAGCGAGATGAGACCACGTGGGAGGATGCAATAGAGGCCTATTGGCCACATTGTTTTGCTAACACTGAATCTCAGAGCTAAACGGGCTTCCCCCTTCCCATCCCAGAAGCCCTCCATCTCCCAAGGAGTGCAGTTTCTAAATAAACAGCCCAGCCCGGCATCAAGCAGCAATTCACTTAGCAAAGAATGGATGAGAGGGCTGAACAGAGTATTCAGTTTTCTGAAATTTTTCAGTAAGGCCATCACTCTCCCTTCCCAGGGGCAAAGTTAGTAAAGGGAAGGACATCAGTAGTAGGGCAAAAACCTATCCACTTTAAGAACTGCAATTAATTAATAAATGTTCCAGTTCATGCTGCAACTAGTTAATATGCATAGAAGCAGACACATTCCTGAACCATTTTGCCTTTAGGTGAGGCACATGCTCTCTTACTGAGCCACTGAGTCTCCCGAGTCAGCCTTTTAGTAGGAGCAGAGTTGATTGTCTTGACCAGAATAACTGCTTAGGAGAAAGGGTAGAGAGTGCCCCGCTGTGTGACCAGGACCCATCTTTAGATCACCAGTCCAGAGAACAGTGACACGCACTTGATCAGTGTGCATGCAACGATATGGATGGACAGCATTGCTTCTGAAAATAAATGTGTAATAATGCATACTTCTCTGGCTACCAAGGATGGCGGATAAAAATGTGAACTGGGCAGTTAGACTACCTGTGTTCAAGTATGAATCCACTCTTCGCTAGGTGACAGCTTGGGCAAGTGACTTAGCCTTTCAGTGCTTCTATTTCCTTATAAGTAAAATATAAGTGTGATAGCATCTATCTCTGAGTATTGTGTATGTCGTGCAGAGGAAATATAGACACGACATAAGGCCTGCCAATAGTAGGAACTAAAATATTTTATAAGATCATAAAGTTACTCATGAACTACATCTACACTTATTGGAGACTGATTTTTTTTAAGGATCCTTGTCATATGGGAAAGTACAAGGACATATGGAGATGCTGAGAGAATAACACTGGACAATACTTTGATGTTGACAGAGCCCCTTTCTCTGAAGTACCCAAATAATGCCTGTTTTTATATATTTGTCTTCATTATATTTGGCCATATATATTCTACTGTGCTAAATGTGGTCAGTGGCTTCAGTCCCTTCTAGGCAATCCTAACTTATGTAAATATGAAGACCAGGTAAAAAAGCCAGAATGGGTCAGGCGCGGGGGCTCACGCCTGTAATCCCAGCACTTTGGGAGGCCGAGGCGGGCGGATCACGAGGTCAGGAGATCGAGACCATCCTGGCTAACACCGTGAAACCCCGTCTCTACTAAAAATACAAAAAATTAGCCGGGCGTGGTGGCGGGTCCCAGCTACTCGGGAGGCTGAGGCAGGAGAATGGCGGGAACCCGGGAGGCGGAGGTTGCAGTGAGCCGAGATCCCGCCACCGCACTCCAGCCTGGGCGGCAGAGCGAGACTCCGTCAAAAACAACAACAACAAACAACAACAACAACAGCAACGCCAGAACGGAGAAGCCAAATAACCGATGCAACGAACTATGTGCACGACTCGCTGATTACAATATTTATATAATATTGAATTTTGAAACTTTGTTATCTGCATTTGTCCATTTGGGACAAAATAACTTGTTGTCTATGTGTCTATGAAGAAGAAAATATTTTACATAGATTGAAGCTGATGAAATTATAACAGTTGGCAACAATGCCAGAGAAAAATAAGTATCTTAACTGGAAAAAATGAGTTTTAAAAAATAGATGAGAATAATATTTCCGAAAAGGAATGAAGATTTCGAGTGAATGTCGCGTGTGGCAGCATCCACAGCTCACGATCCCTGAGAACACACTATTAACTGCCTACTTCAGTCCTTCCCTACTTGAATAGACCCTCAGCTCAGTTTCAGTCTCTCTGAGGTCACTTCTGACTGTAAGCCAGATACTCATTTTCACATCTCACCTTTCCCCAAAAGCAGCTGGGTTGTCCTCCACTCTCATAACAAGGTTCCATGTCTTGAGAGACCCTTGTTTCATAATTAGAGGGAAATCTATTTTTACTTCCACTACCTCTGAGAGTCTTTGTAAGGGTTTGAGCTGGGGACTGGGATATACATTACATATTTTGGATAAAAACTCTTTCCTTCTATTATGGTTTTCCATTGTCCCTACATTACTGATCCTTACTTTGTCTCATTTCTAATGCCTGCTGTGGTCTTTTTCTGTACAATGTCCCAATATACTAGATCTCATATTCCTTCATTCCTCAAAAGGCCCACTACTAAGAAGACAGAGTACCAGAAAAGATTTTTCGAAACTTTGATTTAATAAGAAGGGTTTCTGAATGTGAATCTTCCACTAACTGCTGAAATTGGAATACTGCAGTCCTAGAAATTCCTGGGCGATTTACCTGCAAGAGATCATTTATCCTAGTCCTCGTTCATCACCAAAGCCTTCAGTTTTCACTGTTGAGGGGAGAATTTCTTTGCCCCTTTCTAGGTACCAATCAATCCTCAGCCTCCACATTTCTGTTATTTTCTCCTGCTAAGCAATTTTTTTCTGCTGCTTATCCCTGACAGGTTCCAGACATAACATTAGCACAGGAGAAAATGCATTAAGGTGTTGTGTTACATAAGCATCTACCCCCAGATCCTACTCCCTTATAATACAAGGCACTGAAAGAAAATGGGAAATAACACTTTCCTGTTTGTGATGATCTTATTTTTAGCGGGGCCCTCTTTCCTGCTGGTTTTTGAATATAGAAAAAGGCAACAGTGAAAATGTGTGTTCGACTTGTCCAAAGCAAACCCCTGGATTCCGTAGTTTTTGTTATACTTATTTATATGCATGAATTCTCACCTGTACTAGACTGTAAGATCCCTAAGGACAGCATTCAGTTTTCATAATAGGTGAACAGACTAGAGTACCTTAAAAATAAGCTAAAATATCTAAGAAGTAGCATCAGGTGTATCTCAGCCTTCCATAAATACATGCTCAGTGAATGGCAACAGAGATAAAGGACATGTTGAAGTAGGGCTGGGCACAGTGACTCACACCTGTAATCCCAGCACTTTGGGAGGCTGAGGCAGGTGGATCACATGAGGTCTGGAGTTCAAGACCAGCCTGGCCAAAATGGAGAAACCCTGTCTCTACTAAAAATACAAAATTTAGCCAGGCATGCTGGTGGTTGCCTGTAATCCCAGCTACTTGGGAGGCTGAGGTGGGAGAATCTCTTGCACCCGGGAGGCAGAGGTTGCAGTGAGCTGAGGTCATGCCACTGCATTACAGCCTGGGCGACAAGAGCGAGACTCCATCTCAAAAAAAAAAAAAAAAGCACTTTGAAAATAAAAAAACGTATACTAAAATAGTATACAACTGTACCTAAATTAAAATAATTTTTAAAAGTTGAACAGAGGGTAGGGAATTTCTAGTCATTGACTCATTACTTACCCTGTACACACCCCAAGGTGAATATGTAGCCAGGATTTAAACTGTGTTTTTTGTGCAGAATGTTCTAATGAGTGTCATGAAGGAATTTCAAAGAACAAAATAAGCATGGCTGCCTTGCCTTCATGAACCGTGTTACACAGAGATAGTGAGAAACATCACAAATGGGATTTCCCCATCAGTGGATCACTTCTGTCTCACAAAGCCAATTGGGTTGTCCCCCCACGGTGTTATGGGGCCAGTCCCTCTCATTACAGTGCTGGCACAGCAGCTTGGCCTGGAAGACACTGAGGTGGAGATCAAGGGAATCCTTTGGATGGATTCCTTGGTATTCTGCTACTGAGCCATGCTGGGAGGTGATACATCAGCACAGGGGGAGAAGCACTTCTCAGCATTCCAAGCAGCCTCCAAATCGTCATGAAAAGGACTCTGTCCACTTTATATAATGATAAAAGCAGAATCAAATGTCACATTTTCTCCATGTTAAACTTTTCCCATGCCTTGCATTACATTTGAGATCTGCTCTTCCATATTGTTAGTGAGATGAGAAATAAGGCCATGCATAGAAGAGCCCTTCGTCTGGGACGTGGGGAAGCAGAGCAGTCTATGAGCTACACTATCCAGGTGGCCTCTCTGGCAATGAGACGATGGGCTCTCCAGAGGGGCCTGAGGGACTTCATGGAGCTGTCAGTCCCATTAAGGTGGGGAGCAGGAGGCTGTGTCTGTTGAGCCAACCAATGGTGGTGGAGAGTCAGAGGCCATGTTCCTTTGCTGGGGCTACCGTAACGAAGTACCAGAGACTGGGCGGCCTAAACAAAAGCAGGTTATGTCAGCACAGCTCTGGATGGTGGAAGTCCAAGATCAAGAGGTTGGCAAGGTAGGTTCCCTCTGAGGCCCCTCTCTTTGGCTTGCAGATGTCCACTCTCCCTCTGTCTCTTTACAAGATCTTTCCTCTGTGCAAGGACATTTCTGGTGTACAAATTTCTTCTTCTTATAAAGACACCAGTCAGATTGGATTAAGGCCCATCCTAAAGACTTGAATTAAACTTTATTGTGCAATTTAAGACTGTATCTCCAAAATAGGCTGTATTCTGAAGTACTAGGGGTTAGAACTTCAATATCTGAATTTTGAGGGGACAGTGAGCCCATCACAGATGCCACACAGCCGGTAAATGGGAAGAGTGGAATGCTACCCTGAGTCTTTCTTGTGTGACAGGCTGATAAACTCCACATGCCAGGAAACATTCATTCAAACAAACAAGAATCTACTCCAAGTTTGGAGCCCTATTTTCATGCCACGGACAGTCCATATATCATCATTTTTCTGTAGGAATTCCATGAGATGCTTTGAAGTGACTTGCTAAAATAAAGTTTTACTCTCTAGAGAGAACATAGTTCTTTGAGATTGTATAATTTTGCAAATACTGAAAAGCAATCTTAATGAGCCACTACAGACAGAGGTTTAATACTAAATCTGCACAAACTTCTAATTCTAGCGTCAGACAACAGCAATTTATGCTCCAGGTAAGAATTTTGGAGAAAAAGCAAAACTGGATTTATGCAACAGATATTTATTTGAGTACAACTTTACATGCAGTACCCTAAAAGGTGTGATATAAGCTGAGAAACTTTAAAATTTAATGTGGCTCCAATAGAAACTTTTCACCTCTGAAAGATAAAATTAAACATTGGATAACTTCACAAAATGAATTTGAAACCCTTACAAATTTGGAAAAATTCACTCAGATAAACAATTTAAAATGAGAGGATTTTAGGAATATATTTTATGTGGAAGATAAAATTTTGTTCTATATTTTGAATGAGTTACTTTTTATAAATTGACAAGTCTTTATAATTTAATTTTAATTTAATATAATTTAATTTTGTAGTTTTAGCCATTTTCTGAGTCACATAAAACACTTACCTAACTCTAAAGAAATATAAAAACTTAAGCTTCAGTCATGAAAAATTTTTGTCTACATGAATGAGTATACTTTTCCTCAGGGTCTAAGAAATATTGAAAGCCTACCTTTGGATGACAGAAGGAGGATTTGTTTCTAGATCTGGTCATGAACCATTTCAAAAACCAAAGTCACATAATTCAGTTATTTATACAGAACAGAAAAAAAAATCACAACAAATAATGTCGCAAATAATTACTATTAATTCCAGTAAAATGATGCACTCCTAATGATGCACCTATAATTCAAGGTTATGGCTGTTTTGTAAGTTGATCTCTCTCTCTTTCTTGCGCTTGGGCGATCAATATATTTTTACTGAATATCTGCTACAACCCCAACCAAAACAAGCTACTATGGAAACAGTAATACATAAGATGAAATCTATAGTTCTCAAAGAGGCTATAATTTTGCATAAAAGTTAACAAATTTCATACATTAGTATAAAACACCAGTAAAAGAAAACACAGGTGAAGTAGTAATGTAAAAATTATAATCAAATTTAAGAGAGGTAGAGAACTCATTCTTGTTTGCTCATGTTGGAGAAGTCATATCAAAAAAAAGTTACGTATCTAGAATTCAAGGAGATGCTTAAAAATTAAAATTAATTTCATGTGAATAAAAATAGAAATAGGAGATGGAAGAGTAAATTCTAGGTAGAGGAAACAATACACTTCTGGGCAATAAATAGTTAAATTATGAAATAATGAGTCAATTCAGTTTGATTGAATGACTCTAAGTTATGCCTCAGGGAGTGCAGAGGAATGAATTTGCTTTTGGAAATATCATCTGGGTTATCTAAGAGAGTCTTGAATGACACAGTATGGCAATGGGGAACCTTTGTAAGTTTTTGAGTAGGTTAGTAGTATCAAAAAGAGTTGAGCTTGATATAAGACATGCATTTAGGAGTCATCTTCAAAGAGCTGAGAGTTAAAGCAATGGGCATGTTTATGATGCCTAAAACAAGGACTGAAGGTGGCATGACCTCACAACCTGATCTGCCCAGAACACTGCAGGTCTATTATGTATTGTCCTAATGTCCCCTTTGATTAGTACCCCTGTCTGTTTCAGAAATGTCACAGTTTGGATCATAATTTATATGGTCACCCAAAACAGAGAAAGCACAAATGGCTGGGTGCATTGGCTCACGACTGTAATCCCAGCACTTTGGGAGGCCGAGGTGGGCGGATCACAAGGTCAGGAGATCGAGACCAACCTGGCCAACATGGTGAAACCCCGTGTCTACTAAAAATACAAAAATTAGCCAGGCGTGGTGGTACACACCTGTAATCCCAGCTACTCATGAGGCTGAGGCAGGAAAATTGCTTGAACCAGGGAGTCGGAGGTTGCAGTGAGCAGAGATCACGCCACTACACTCCAGCCTGGCGACAGAGCAAAGCTCTGTCAAAAAGGAAGGAAAGAAGGAAGGAAGGAAGGAAGGGACTCACTTAATGATTATATTTAATAAATGGAAAACAAGTCCAGAAGGTGGTAATGGAAAAGTGGAGAGGAGAGTTTGGAAATCTCAATTGCATGCATTTGCCTCTATTTCTAGCTGGGCCATGCATCACTCTAGCATTCTTCATACCTGACATGCGTTTAGCTCAATTCACAGTCAGAGGGAAGAACTGCCCCATGATCATTCCGTTGGTTGTATTTCACTTTGGAATTACATTTCATTCTTTCAACATGATAACTTACTTTTCAAATTATTAATCTACCTTCAAAATAGTTCTTACTCGTTAAACTACTACCAGACTAAACTAAACCAAGAGAGACTGGTCATGATGGTGATAAATAGCACAGAATTGCGACTGAAAGCAATTTGTCAAGTGGATTATTAACGTGTTTCTAGAAGAAAGTTCACCTGTGAGAAGATGACTTTGTACCTCTTTCAATATGATTCAATCTATTTGCCTCCAATTCCTCCATTCAATTTCAAACTTCCTGCAGGCAGTAAGAGCCTCTTTTCTATTTTAGTAAAAAGCCTGCAAACATCAGATAAAAAGCGAGGTTGATTGATCGGCTGAACACGCAGCGCTCCATTAGGGAAGAATGCTGCCATGGTGTCCATACAGCAACCATTAAGAAATTTCGCTGGCTGTGGTGTGAACACACGTGTTTTAATAGCTTAACTTCTCTGCTGCTAACCTAGCACTGAATTTCCTCCATCAACATCAGCCTCATGCTTCACACTTTTATTGTAGCACATTTTCTCTACAGAAGTCTAATCTCATTGGAGAACATTTAAAGAAGATAGCAAATACTTTTTATAATAGCACTATATTTCTCTATTTAAATAGCAGTAGTTAGTGAGTTTTCAGCTATCCTAACGCCTATTTGCTTTTACTAAAACTTCCTCTTCATTGGAGAGCTGTGATAATGACTTATTTGGCAGAATATGCATTAAGGAACATCAGTATGTTAAAATCATCAATATTATCACAAACCGCCTACTAAAACATTGAATTTGCCCATTTCTTCCTGTTTCATTGCCTGCTCTAAGAAGGTGGTGTATAGCACACGCGCGTCCTTTTAACTAATGGAGATTGTGCAGTTTCTGTTGTTAAGAATTTGAGATTTTAAGGCCTATCATAACTGTAGTCTTATATTCGAAGTGCTTTATTTTACCCTGGTCGTTGTCACTTAGAATCATTCATGAAGCTTTGGTGTGGCCTTCCAGAAAGAGTGGCTTAACCTTTCATTTGTCGTGAAAATTAAAGAAACTCAGAGTAGTTTTACATTCACCATGTTTGAGAAAATAAAAATAATGATTTTAGCTTTTTAAATATTTTTGACTACACAATAAAATATACAGATAAAGGATAGAGTCCAGAGAATTTTAGACAAAAATCACTCTGTTAATTCTATTATGGTAATATTTAAGTCTGAATTCCTGGTTTGACTTTTGCTTACTCAGTTTCTTTTCATCACTTTAGGTCTCCCTAAATAAGAGTAATTTACTCTTATTGATAAATTGTTAGAATATAAAACGCGGTATTAGTACTTTTTCCTTTTTAGATCTATACATGCAAAATAATGTACCCATTGTAAGTATACAGTTCAATGAGTTTTGATAAAATATATACTTACATAACTCCCAGTCAAGATAAAGGATATTTCAATCACCCCACAAAGTTTTATTTTGATCCCAGGGAACTACCTATCTGTTCCCTGTCACTATCATTCTGCCTGTTCCAGTATTTCATATCTGTGCAATCCTATGATATGACTTTTTGTGTGTCTTAGTCCCATCAGTTAGAAATATGTTTTGAGATTCTTTCCTGTGGTTATATATGTCAGTTGTCAGTTCTATTCATTGGAAAGCAGTATTTCATTGTCTGAATGAACTTTTTAAAAAAATTCACCTATCTATGGATTGACAATAGAGTTTTGCAGTGCTCAGATATTAGGAATAAAGCTCTGTCAACCCTTAAATACACACCTTTTTGTGCATGCGTTTTCATATCTGCTGGATAAATGCCTAGAGGCGGAATTGCTACGACAAAGAGTAAGTGCATGTTTAATTTTGTAAGGAATTGCCAGTTTTCCTGAGTGGTTGTGCATTGTACACTCCCATCAGCAGTGTATGGGAGTTCTGTTTGCTCCACATCCTTGACAACGCACTGGTCTGTTTTACTACATGCAGATTCATCTTCGAGAGAAATGCGTTTTTGCAACCTATGTACAATATCCTGTCTTCTGGAACTATTCTCTGGTCACCTTCTGCTTTTTTTTTTTTTTTTTTTTTTTAGCATAAACTATACCATCACCGCTTCGGCTTTTTTTTAGCAATCACCTTCAGGCATTTTATGAAGATTGCCTCCGCATGATTCAGCAACCTGACATTTTTAAGTTTTCCATTAAAAACAATGTAAGTTAAAGAAAATTAAGCCATCCAGCAAAATGTTGTAAAACAATTTCATCACGTTGACCTTAACTTCCTATATTAACAAATATATTTATGCTCATGTTTAAAGCATTTCACACGAGAGAATAACTGATTTTGAATTTTGCTATGATCTCATAAACAAATAACTATTAAATATAAACCTCTTATTTCAATATAGACAAATGTTGTATATAATTCTCAAATAATGAGATATCACTCAGTAATAATCCATAAACTTAAGTAACTTCTCTGACTCTCTGTTTTTCTATAAGTTAAAAGGGAATAACACTACCAATAATAATGTCTATTCCAGAGAACTCTTAAGATGATTAAATGAGTTAATATTTATTAAGAATCTAGCAAGCCTGCTTGCTTCTAGGAAATGCTCTACACATTTAAAAATGAATAGATACAGGTAACCCAAACCATATATAATGCTGCAACATTGTCAGACATGTGTCACCACACGGAAAAAGTTAATTTCTTGGATATCTTCTAAGCCACACTTTTCAAAATGTGCCATTTAATAAGCTGCAAATATTCGGAGTTTTGTTGTTGTCCTTTATTTTACCATCTTCCCCTTGAACTGCTGTATTTACTATGCTGTATCTGGTTAAGTGGCTCTAAAGAAAAATAGAACCTAGCAAAGGCAAAATGTTATTTTATTCCTATATAAGCTAGTACTTTTGTTCAATTCTTCAAATCTGGTAGTGTTGCCAAACAAAGACAAAGAAGAACAACAGAGTTTATCTCCACTGTATTTGCTGGCACCTTTGCTTGTTTTTTTAGTTTCCTGCCCTGTCCCCATAGAATGTAATGACCCTGAGGATGTATATACTTTTCATTACAGAAGATGGAGGCCACACTCCCTCCTCTGATTTCCATAGCAGGTTCATTTTAGAATCTCCTGCAGCAAATGACCTCCCAAAGGCTGCAAGAGCATGATTATTCACATGGAAACCCACTGAGTGGGCTCCTCTCCAGCTGAACTCAGCCATTCTCATGGCACTTGCTTTGATTCATAGCAAAGGTATTCCAGGCAATGAATAACAAAAACAACAACAACAAGCCCAATCCTGTGAAAACAAAGGATTTGAACACAGGGCATTCATTAGAAAAAATTTTAAAGTGATTACCTGTCTTTTAGATTCTGCTAAGTATGTATGTTACTTACGAAAGTGCTTTTGGAAATGTGCTTTAACCATCAAGCTTAATCAGGCAGCATGTTCTCCCCGAAACTATTACGGTAAAAATGGAAAAAAAATGCTTCCTAACAGTTTGAGTTATTGAGATGACCTCATTGTTTTTCTGAATCCTATGGCCTTGGATGTTGTTATACAAGTTATTCACATTTAAACTTCAGATTCTCATTTTTAGCATAAATAATTCAGTTCCAACTTTCCTAAAGTCATTCGTGGAAGCCCCAGCTTTTAGCAAAAACAGAATGAAACAAAACAAGATAAAAACCTTCAAAAATAATAATAAACATTATTCAGAGTTCTGCATTTCTCAGACCATTCCAGCAACTCCATTAATGTGCCATTGTCTAAAGACTCTCACATTTTTTTATTACTTTTAACTCAACTTAAAAACTAAAGTGTACCTCAGACAGATAGTTGGTGCTCAGAGCCTCTGCAGGATGGAATTCTGAGAGAATGGTTTACTATTTATCTTTCATTTTAAAGAGTTCATCTGTAAAATGAACTGGGTTTGGCTTTAGTGGGAAATTAGTCCATTTTGGAACTTTTAATAAAATACAAAGAAAGAAAGCAAACGCCTAAACTGTGTCACCCATCTTTGTATAACCATGTGATTTCCTTAGTTCTGCTTTCTTATACATTTGCATTTCAATTTTTGTAGCTTCCTATACTACAAATCCCACAATATTTTATGAGCATTTGTGTTTGAGAACCTTGAAATGAAGTGCTATTCACCTCTGTTCGGTATATGCTTTATCATATTGTAATTTTTCTGCAATGCAGATAATTGCCTGATTGTTGAGTGACTTATGAATTCACTAGAAATAATGTAAATGGTTTTCCACAATGATTTTTGAAAATACATTTTACAAGAACCAAAGCAGGATGATATGTGATTGTTGGATTTTCAATATTATAGGTAAATTTATATCCTTTATTCTTACATGGTATTTCTCATTAACTGGATTTGAGTTAAACAAAACAATTTTTCTTGCATTTACATTTTGACAAATTCAATGAAGTGGGAAAGCTGGTGAACTGGAAAAATATGGAAATTGGCCACACAAGGCTGTTTAATAAAGAATGGGGGTTTTATAAGCAAATGTAAATTTTATCTCCTAAAATAGGTGTATTGTCTGTTTTGCCTATTCAGAACTCTTCTTTCTTTACCTTTCTGTTTTCAGTGTTAGGAGAAATTCATAACAATGGAGCTATGTTTTTAAAGATCAAGTTTGTGCAAGTCCCACAGAGAATTTTCATGAGAGATCATGATCATCAACAAACTACTGAGGTTTAGGAAGGTTAAGTATTTGTCACAAGGTCACACTCCTAGCCAGTGGTGGAGTCACGCAGCTTCATTTGGATGATATACTAGCTCTTGAAACTACTCATTCTTCTCTTTTTTTCTTAAACAGGACCTTCTCTTTTCTTTTACAAGCTTCACCATTCTTGACTTTCCTGATTTCTGATTTGTCTATCACATATGTTCTTGAGCATGCTAGATTTTTTTTTTTTTTTTTTTTTTTTTTTTTTTTTTTTTTTTTTTTTTTTTTTTTTGAGACGGAGTCTTGCTCTGTCGCCCAGGCCGGACTGCGGACTGCAGTGGCGCAATCTCGGCTCACTGCAAGCTCCGCCTCCCGGGTTCCCGCCATTCTCCTGCCTCAGCCTCCCGAGTAGCTGGGACTACAGGCGCCCGCCACCGCGCCCGGCTAATTTTTTGTATTTTTAGTAGAGACGGGGTTTCACCTTGTTAGCCAGGATGGTCTCGATCTCCTGACCTCATGATCCACCCGCCTCGGCCTCCCAAAGTGCTGGGATTACAGGCGTGAGCCACCGCGCCCGGCCGAGCATGCTAGATTTTTTTAAAAAAATGTTTGCCATCCATTTTATCTTTGAGTAGTTCTTTTTTCTTTTAATATCCAGTCTTTTCCCACGTACATATTTATAATCCCTCATTTACTGCAAATCCCTGCAGTTTAAAATAATATAAATATCTGCCTACAACAAAAGCCATTTCATTTCCTCCATAGGTATAGTCTGTGCAAAATTAAACAAGAATCAAATCAATATAGAGACTAGATCTTATTACTCGATAATATCTGTTTTCTTTCAAATCTAATGATTATATGATATAAAGTTTCTCATAATATTATTTGGCCATAATTTAAAAACCAAAAGTGAAGTTACACACTTTTAAGACTTACCCTCCGATTTCATTATTGAGAAAACTAAAGCCCACAGATCCTGTTGAAGGTCACACACTTAAAGGTTTGGGAAAAGAAATAACTCATTTGCCTTCCTCGTTTCAGAATTTGCTCTGCAATAGACTATCCCAGTTTTCATCGGATTATGGGTAAAATGTTGTATTTATTATCACTATATAGACATACCACCAAAAATTCTTATTAAAATAAATAATAAGCTCAGCTCATTGAGACTAAAAACTTTTTTACATCTAATAAGATTTTTAGCTTGTTTTAGAATATTTGATAAGCACATAAAATTGATATGCATCTGATTTATTAGTGAATAGATAAAAACAAACCATTTCCCTCTATGTAAAAGCCAACTTTAGTGATATTAACACTTTTACACCCAAAAGGCTAATATCCATGTTTCTAATACTTTAATACTCTAACACTTGTTTAATATCAGTTAGGATTGGAGTGGTCTATATATAACAGAAAATCCAAATATTGGCTTAAACACACCAAGTTATCCTCTCATGTAAAAGAATTCAGGCGGATTACAGCTCAAAGGTGACACAGAGGTTTCATGAATTTGAATGAAACAAGACCCTTCATTCTTATTTTTCCCCTCAACCCTCAGCATGTGACTCTCATTCACAAGATTGTGCCATGGCCCAAGACAGCTGCTGGAAACACTGCTATCATTCTGCTTTCCAGGCAGCGAAAAGGAAGGACAGGAAAAGCACAGAACGGCTCCCCTCTTCCTGAGTCAGCACTGACGCGGCCCTCAGAGATGGTCCACACAGTGCTTCTGCGCGTCGATCATTTGCCAGAACTCAGACACAGGGGTCACCCCTACCCACAAGACTTTAGAATATGATTATGAAACGTATTCTGTTTATATCAGATGCATAAAAAAGAAAAAGACAATGATATTGGGTTGACAAATAACTATCTATCTAACATGTAATTTGGAGAATAAGGCCACGTGAAACCTTAATTTGCAGTCTTAAAAAATAAATCCATCACACTAGGAAATATAGTTTTTAAAAAAGCTTAAAATTATACTTCAGAAACTGTGGTATAATTTTAGAACACCCTCTAAAAAAGTCAATCAGAAGTAAATCCTTGAAAATCTATGTGCCTTGATTGGCTTACTTGTAAAATAAAGAAATTAAATCTGCCTTTGAGATCATATAAGATAATGCTGATGATAGACATACCAGATGTGAAAGGGCTTTGCAAAATTATATTTTTAATTGTGCATGGAGGAGTTTTAAAAGAAATCCTTGATGTTTAGTTATTATTATTTTCTCAAGCATGTTTTAAGAACTGAATAAGCATCAGTACAATTTTCCGTGAATTAACATCTGTGGAAAGTCAGTCAGTCTAAGGGGTGGGACGCTATGGAGGTGGGCCCCTCATGCCCACGTTCCCTATTCATCCACACTCTATGACCATCACAAACCTCTTACAATGTTGTCTATTTTTTCCAGTTTTGAGTCAAGATTTTCTTAGCAAATTATTTCTTCCATTCAAAATCCTGTTCTATTGAAATCACATGTGACACAAATAGATTGGGTTATCAGCAAGCTAATCATAGACTGTTGCTTAATCAGCCTTTTTGAACTAGAGCCAAATTAAATGGCAACACTTAGTCATGAAGCGAAATGAAATGACTGATTGTGTTATGATAAGACTTCAGGTGTTTCACTATAAAAACTGCACTCGGGTGTCTCGCTGTAAAAGCTGCACTCGGGTGTCTCACTATAGAAACTGCACTCGGGTGTGTCACTGTAAAAGCTCCACTCGGGTGTCTCGCTGTAAAAGCTGCACTCGGGTGTCTCACTATAGAAGCTGCACTCGGGTGTCTCGCTGTAAAAGCTGCACTCGGGCGTGTCACTATAAAAGCTGCACTCGGGTGTCTCACTGTAAAAGCTGCACTCGGGTGTCTCGCTGTAAAAGCTGCACTCGGGTGTCTCACTATAGAAACTGCACTCGGGTGTCTCGCTGTAAAAGCTGCACTCGGGTGTCTCACTGTAGAAACTGCACTCGGGTGTCTCACTGTAAAAGCTGCACTCGGGTGTCTCACTGTAAAAGCTGCACTCGGGTGTCTCACTGTAGAAACTGCACTCGGGTGTGTCACTGTAAAAGCTGCACTCGGGTGTCTCACTATAGAAACTGCACTCGGGTGTCTCACTATAAAAGCTGCACTCGGGTGTCTCACTGTAAAAGCTGCACTCGGGTGTCTCACTATAGAAACTGCACTCGGGTGTCTCACTATAGAAACTGCACTCGGGTGTCTCACTGTAAAAGCTGCAGTCGAGTGTCTCGCTGTAAAAGCTGCACTCGGGTGTGTCACTGTAAAAGCTGCACTCGGGTGTCTCACTATAGAAACTGCACTCGGGTGTCTCACTGTAAAAGCTGCAGTCGAGTGTCTCGCTGTAAAAGCTGCACTCGGGTGTGTCACTGTAAAAGCTGCACTCGGGTGTCTCACTGTAAAAGCTGCACTCGGGTGTCTCGCTATAAAAGCTGCACTCGGGTATCTCACTATAAAAGCTGCACTCGGGTATCTCACTATAGAAACTGCACTCGGGTGTCTCACTGTAGAAGCTGCACTCAGGTGTCTCACTGTAGAAACTGCACTCGGGTGTCTCACTATAAAAGCTGCACTCGGGTGTCTCACTATAAAAGCTGCACTCGGGTATCTCACTATAGAAACTGCACTCGGGTGTCTCACTGTAGAAGCTGCACTCAGGTGTCTCACTGTAGAAACTGCACTCGGGTGTCTCACTATAAAAGCTGCACTCGGGTGTCTCACTATAAAAGCTGCACTCGGGTGTCTCACTATAGAAACTGCACTCGGGTGTCTCACTGTAGAAGCTGCACTCAGGTGTCTCACTGTAGAAACTGCACTCGGGTGTCTCACCATAAAAGCTGCACTCGGGTGTCTCACTGTAAAAGCTGCACTCGGGTGTCTCACTATAAAAGCTGCACTCGGGTATCTCACTATAGAAACTGCACTCAGGTGTCTCACTATAAAAGCTGCACTCGGGTATCTCACTATAGAAACTGCACTCAGGTGTCTCACTATAAAAGCTGCACTCGGGTGTCTCACTATAGAAACTGCACTCAGGTGTCTCACTGTAAAAGCTGCACTCGGGTGTCTCACTATAAAAGTTGCACTCGGGTGTCTCACTATAAAAGTTGCACTCGGGTGTCTCGCTGTAAAAGCTGCACTCGGGTGTCTCGCTGTAAAAGCTGCACTCGAGTGTCTCACTATAAAAACTGCACTCGGGTGTTTCACTGCCATATCAGGGCTCTGAGAACCTCAGCACAAGATACTTGGCAACTTTTTAAGTGATTTAATCATTCAAGCAGTTCTATAGGATAAATTGGAAAACGATAAGGTTTTGGTACTGAATTGTACTCCTTGGCCATCAATTGGTTAACACCTCCTTTCTTCATGTTATTCTATTTTAATATATCCTGTTGCCTTCATTAATGACATATCCTGAGAATACTTCAGTTATGAAATATATAAATTTAAAACAAAAATGTCTTAACATCTCTATTCAAATGAAAAACATACTTAACCTACATGAGGTTAAAGGCAAATAGGTTTTTGTTAACTGTTAAATCTAAATGGTCTCAAATGAAAACTAATGAAATGTAAATATCAAGGAAAAAGAAACGGCTCCACAATTAACTATCCAGGATGGTTTCAAGAGAGTCAATCATGAATCCTAAATGTTCACTAAGTAACTTATAACACTGAATTGTTATAAGTGTGATAATTGTGTTATAAGTTACTTAGTGAAGCTCTAAGATTAATCAAAGCTCTAGATTATCAAACATTACAAATTAACTACTTCCATTAGCCACAAAATTGTCTTCAAAAATGAATCTTAGTCATTTGTATTTCTGTAAACATTCTATGAAGTACATTAGAAAGTATTAGAATATCTGCCACTCACTGTGGGTGGGTGTTTATTCTGCTTTTAATTTCTCACATATCAATTTAGGTAGACCTCATTCATTTTCCTTAACTCCAATAGTGAATATAACCAGAATTGTATGTATCATGTTCAAATTTAGAACCCAATTGAATAACAGATATTATTTTTATGTAATAAGTGCTTTAGTAAACACAGCAGCTGTGCATTTTCAGATGCTCCATATTTACTATATTTGAGTTGTGAATCTGTAGGCTAGATATAGAGTTGATGATCATTATAAATATATTTACAGAACTGCAAATCACAGAAAATGAACAGCCCGGCCATTATCCCTCTAGAAAAGGGGGTTCTAATAAAATTCCTCTCCTGTTCTTACAGGGTACACATGCAAAAAAAAATCAGCTAATTTCTATACTTTGTTAATTAATTGTTGACACTGGTTCAGAGTAGGGTTCACTGTTGTTTTCTCCTTTCCCCTCAGAACTTTGACATTTCCCCAGTGTAAACGCAGAGATCTACTTTCATTCCTGTCATTTTTTTGTTCCATTCTTTTCTCTCCCACATTGTCCTTTGTTACTGATCTTCTAAGCCCTTGACACACCCACTAGAATGAAAAGCAGGGCCTTTGTCATTTTCCCACTGCTCTGTCCCAATCCCCGTGCCATGCCTGAAACGTCGGGAGTCCTTGATACCTATTGGTGGAATGTAGGGTTAATCCGAACATTGTCTTGAGCACTGTGTCTTACTCGGAATTGCTTCCAGGTGGTGTCCTGCTGTCTTCTGAGCAATAGAGACTCCACATGGCTGCCTGATGGCCATTTCCAAAGGCAATCGTGCTGCTCTCCTGCATAAAGTCTCTCAGACGAGTCATCACAGGTAAGAGAAAGGGTCAAGTCCGTGGCATGGCCTCCCATGTCCCTCACGATCAAGTGTCTGCTCTATCTGCCTTGTCTCCTCTACTCTCCCTCTCCACTCGCCTCAGCTCACATTCACCATCTTCCATCTTCTCAAGTGCTTCACATTGTCCAAACTCCTGTCCTGGAAAAAGCTCCTCTCTTGGTTCAGATCCTCATTTCTAGTCCCTGAACTTGAGATTTCAATTCAAATGTCATGATCTCAAAGAAACTTTTCAGCTATTTTCCAGAGTGTATTAGGATTCCCAAGTATAGATGCTCTACAATTAACGCTTTTTCTTCTTTGCACTTATCACTTACATTATATCTTGGTAGCATTATTTGATTAAAGTCAGTTTTCTTTCCACTAAGTTTTAAAGCTTAATGGAAATAGAAACGATCTCTATTTATATCTCCACTACCTGGTGTGGAATAAGGGCATAATAAGTATTCAAGAAGTAATTTTAAAAATTTAGAAAATGCCATGCACTTAGTCATTTGAGGTTGTATTGATACCTTGCAGAAGCCTCACTGCCATCTCTTTGTATAGTATTTACATTGGCTTAGGAAAATATACAAAATGTCAACTTACAAACATCTTATTTTACCCCAGAGAGCC
Source organism: Homo sapiens (assembly GCF_000001405.40). NCBI lineage: Eukaryota > Metazoa > Chordata > Mammalia > Primates > Hominidae > Homo > Homo sapiens. Next base: position 65,407 of record NW_025791773.1, read on the forward strand.
TTTTCAATGTGCTAAATTTGTTAAATATCACACAACATGAGAAGCTACCTCATTGTTTAGCACTGAAGAATGTGCTTAATGCCAATGAAACAGAATTCACTCAAGAGCCCCGACCACATTAGTGATGTATATAATTGCTATGCTTCTGCAAGATAATCTTGCATAAATGGTGAAGAGCATGGATCAGTTCGGGTAAACAGCATTATTTTTATAGAACCACAACAAAAATTAACCTTTCTTAAATTATTATTTGCGTAGGTAACTCATCGGTTTCTATTATCAACAATAATGTTGAAAATTTACCCTAGTTATTGATATGTAATTGATTGCTATTACATCCCATCATACACACTAACAAAGTTTCTAGATCTCCTCCTCCAAAGTGTACCTTCCATGAATCCTCCACTCTCCAGCTGCCTTATTCAAAGTCCAGGCTTGATCATGGCTCCCAGAAGGCGTCTCACACTGAAAGCCCACGAGTGTATTCCACAAGGACACCACAGCCTTTCTTTTTAAAATGAATTTTTTCAAACATAAGGAAGGAACTTTCTGTAATGTAATGGTGAATATAAGACTGAGTTTTTATGTCAAAACTTATCATATTTTATGCTTATAATTGGTGATATTTGTGGTATATGAAGTATGCATCAATGAAACATTAAGTAAGACATTTGGGTCCAAATGGTCTCCGCATTTTTCCAAACAGTGGCCCATATAGGTGCTAACAGCTGGAAATGGTTAGTGAGGAGACTCCCGGATGACCAGGAACAAGAGGCATCTGCAGAGTGCTGTGTTGCATGGGTCAGGTCAGGAGGCGGGCGGTGGTGCAGCTGTGTGGTGCATGCTATAAAACCCCACCACTGCAGGAAGTGCCAGGTGCCCCCTCAGCGTGAAGACTTGTATGCTGACAACAAGCAATGATAGACTCTTCTAATAAAACAAAACCCAGTAGCCAAATGAAATTTCACATAAAAATCCAATCCTGACACTTCTTTTGATATGTTGTTTGTATCCTCTGAAGTATTAAATAACAAACCTGAGAGGGAATTTTTAAACTGCTTCTATTTGGAGGGGTCCTGGGCTCTTCTGCTGGTTCAGCCTGCCCTGTGCTCATCACCCAGTTGCATCGCCAGCCTGCTCTCTGTAGACTGAATCCATATGCCCTGTCTACACAGCCAAACTCCATGCCCTCAAAGGCGTTTCTCCCCTCTTCACCCACTTGTGTACTATTTCAGCTGCCTGAGGCGCTCTTTCCATTTCTACATGACAAAATGCTTTCTGCTCTTTAGGACCGAACTCAAATGCCCCTGTGTGCCTCTTACTGCAATCACAGACTTACAGCCTCATTTCATGTATTTAACATTGTTACAAGACTTGGTTCATATTCTGTCTTATTTATTTTGCATTCTGATACCACTTTTTAATTTTTTATGAGCTCCTTCCTTTATTTTTGTACATATAAGTAACTGATTTTTATCTCAATGCAAAGACTGAAGACAAGTGGTGGAGGAAAGAATCATGTATGTTCTTGAGGGACATCATTCACCATCCCTGTTATTAATCATTTTAATGTATCCAACTCACCTGGTCCACTTTAGAATGGCCTCATGGCATTAACTTCTCCTGCTCCCCAAGCAAGAACAAACTCGCAGGTTTATTTGAGTGTTTTCTTTGGCCATGTAGTTGTTAGCAAGCACGTGTATTGCCTTTCATTGAGCCAAAAAAGAACAAGAAAGGTTTTACTTCCTGATTGCTTTGTTATCCACGCAATGGGTGATCATTCATTATGTTCAGTAAAGAAGGAGAGTGGATGTGACCAGCTTCCAACAACTTGTATCTATTGTGGCAGCAAACACTATTACTGGCTAAACTCCCGAGAACATGGCACTGCTATAAAGGATGAGCATTCGGAGAGCTAGAAATTTAATTCCAGATATACAAGCAATAATCCTCAAGCTGTCCAGCTTCTGCTAATACAAAATGACATGTCTGGGAAGGAAACATTCATTCCTCTCCTGGAGCATTACCAGTGTGTTTGAGCTGTTGAAATGTTCTATTCCATGCAATGACCAAGGATGCTTGTCTGTGCTGTCTTCGGTGCCCAATCCCTTAGGCTGGAAGGAAGTCATCTCTCCCATGCCGTCCTCACAACAGGGACCCACTGGCTGTATAAAAATAAAAATTATAAAAGATGGCCACAAAAGAAACATGAAAAAATTGATTTAACAACGTAATCACAAGGGATTATAAGATGTTAAACAAGCCACAAGTATAAAGGTTTGAGGGAAAAACGGCTGGCAAGCTACACACAATTCGTGCATGTTTTCCCAAGATCAACTCCACTGTTATTAACCATCTCATAAAGAATTATATGTACTGTGGTATCTACAGATGATTATGCCATTCTTACTCTTTCTGGTAAAATAATTTATCAACTGCTTCCAAAATCATTCAGTAGAACATTTTTTTCATACACATTATATTACCTCTTTTCATACACATTATATTACCTCTTTTCACGTATTTAAGTACATGCAGATTGATATCCTAATTTTAGTAATACTTTTTAATGTAACTTTTCATCTTTATTATTATATCTTAGGATTTGTTGGACAAATAGTGTGATTTTCCTGGTAGCAAGACGTGGTCAACATGGTTCTTGGTCTGGTTCTTGGTCAGCAGGAGGGCATTGATGGTGGGTGATGCAATGGCTTGTTAACTGAGCCCACAACTTTTTTATTGTCTCTCTCTTATAGGCCAGGCACTGTCTAGGCATTGGGTTTGGTTATAATAGGGATGCCTGTGTGAAAACAATGGTACAAATGACCTCAGGCCAATAGAAACACGTTGCTAAATCTCGATCATGTCAAAATTTCATACTTCAGGAGTTGTTGACATCTGGAAGGCCTGCCTATAAATCCTGGATCCTTCCGTGCTAAGCCAAGATTCAGGTAAGCATAAAGAGCAATTTATTGTTATTTATTGTTTATTGTGTTAGAGCAATTATTTGTGTTATTTATTGTTATTGTGTTAGAGCAATTTCTGGACTAGAAAGCCTTCTAGAAAAATAATTTTTTAAATGGGCATAAGCCATTTGTATAGTCAAATAGGTGGTCTAACGCACATAGGCACCTAGCTGAGGGGTGAGTGGGGCTGAAATCCAACACTTCTCTGCCTTCCGAGTCATGTAGCCTGGGACGGGGTTAGATCTTTCCAGAGAAAAAGACACCCTTAAGAAAACTGCATAATACAGATATATACATGAAGGCATTCTCTAAGTGCACAAGACACTGCCCTCTGCCCTCCCAGAGCTTTTTTCGGATTTGCAGAAAGATTCCTGACAGGTTAGTAGTCTTGGCTTTGTTCGTTTGCTGAAGTTTGCAATATGCTGAAGATAGTTGGCATTGGAGGTTAAGAATCAGAATGGAACCGCTGAGTCAAGATGAGAAAGTGGCTCCCACTTGCGGAAGCACATTGAATTCTAGAAGCTTTCTCTGGGACCACCAGGTCCAGGTAAGTTTTGAAATAAGCCATTGAAGCCACCACAAAGACACCCAATAGTAGGAGCTGGGGCACTATTGAGAGACAGGACCAGCTGGATTTCCTAGGCCGACTAAGAATCCCTAAGCCTAGCTGGGAAGGTGACTGCATCCACCTTTAAACAGGGAGCTTGCAACTTAGCTCACACCCAACCAATCAGGTAGTAAAGACAGCTCGCTAAAATGCTAATTAGGCAAAAACAGAAGGTAAAGAAATAGCGAATCATCTATTGCCTGAGAGCACAGGGGGAGGGACAATGATCGGGATATAAACCCAGGCATTTGAGCCGGCAACAGCAGCCCCCTTTGGGTCCCCTACCATTGTATGGGAGCTCTGTTTTCACCCTGTTAAATCTTGCAACTGCGCACTCTTCTGGTCTGTGTTTGTGATGGCTCAAACTGAGCTTTCGCTTGCCGTCCACCACCGCTGTTGTCTGTCGTCCCAGACCCTCCCTTGACTTCTCCCCTCCGGATCTGGCAGGGTGTCCACTGCGTTTCTGATCCAGCAAGGCGCCTGTTGCCACTCTGGATCAGGATAAAGGCTTGCCATTGTTCCTGCATGGCTAAGTGCCAGGGTTTGTCCTAATTGAGCTGAACACTAGTCATAGGTTCCACGGTCCTCTTCCGTGACCCAGGGCTTCTAATAGAGCTATAACACTCCCCGCATGGCCCAAGGTTCCATTCCTTGGAATCCATGAGGCCAAGAACCCCAGGTCAGAGAACACGAGGCTTGCCACCATCTTGGAAGCAGCCACCATCTTGGGAGCTCTAAGAACAAGGACCCCCCAGTAACACTATGACGTCCGCAAGGAAATACAATAAGGAATGTCCTCAATAGGAATGTGCGTAAGGGCTTGCTGCTGCCACTTAGCACTGGTCTAGGATCTGGGACAAGGCAAAACCTGTGCATGGCAAGCTGACAGATCTCGCTGAGGAATGCTCTAGGAGGGCTGGGGGCCTGAGAAGGGTACTGAAAGCCCAGGTCTCTCTCCAGGGTGCCTCAGACTGCCTTCAACAGCTGTACAGCAGCTCAGACCCAGTCCATACTTCAGTATTGCTCTAGGTTCTGCATTTCAGCACTCCAGCAACTCTGTGGAAAAGGGTAAAGCAAATTTCATGAGAATACATTCAATTCCAATTTATCAGTACATAGTCTGGCTGCAAGCGCTTCTATAAATTCGTGTAGAACACAATTCCATGTTCCAGCCCTGCAACACATACAAAATCTTTTCTTCTTCATTTAGTTTTGGATACACAGGCTGTAACTTCCTTTCTCACATAAAACAGCTTTAAGAAGTAATCTGAAGTTTTAAATATTTCTTTCACATTTGCCTGATATGGTGCTAAAAGTCGCCAGTCATGGGTTCCTACCATCGCTGGTTTGCTTTGCTGACTATCACAGACAATGGCTGGATTCTACCCTGCCTATTCCCAAACACGAGGACACTAGTAAGATAAAGCATCAATAGCAAAAAGAGCTTATTAGCAGCCCTGGGAAAACAGACTCAACATGCATGCCTGGTAGGTGAGTACGCTGCTGCATAAGGGACAGTGTCATTCATTTTTTTAATTTCAATCAACAAACATGTTGAACTCCTCCTATGTACTAAGCATAATCTCTATCTCCACAAAACTATGCAATTTAACCTTCTAAGAAAAATGCCATTTCCATGGATAACATCGTTACTTCAGACAAAACCTTTTAGGTCTCTTCCTCACAGAACAACAGGGTATGCAACCCATTGTCAGAATGCCTTGTTTTCTACCAGCCAAAATCACCCTCTTGTAAAATGCCTTATGTGAATCAAAATCACTCTTCGACAAGTTTTAAAATGCAATTACCAACATCACCTCAAGGCAGTCATTTAATCCCTGCATGCCTTAAATACTCTGCAAAACAGGAGAGTAATGCTGTTGTGAAGTCGACTGAGCTGAAATAAGAATGCTTCAAGGTAGGAGACTCTACTGTTGTTATTCTAAGTTAGGAATTCTATAGTAGCCTCACAGCTTCCCTCTATGTCTCCAGCACAGCAATAAAAAATTCTTTATAGATGGAAATGATTGCTGAGTAGAGTCTCTGGGGGAAGAGCTGTGGTTTGCTCTTCTGCCAAGCAATAGCAATATCAAGATGTCCCCACAAGGCATTAGCTCTTGAAGTGAGCAAGTTATGGTTCCCAGGGGCCTCCTGTACTTGATGGATGCTCTCAGTGTGAAGTTGTCTCCAGAGACCTCCCAGAGGTCTCAGAACATGGCAGGGTCAGTGTCTAACCTATTATGGACAGAATCTTTACTAGAAAGGCCCAAAAGCTGTGTGCCTGGGCGTGAGACATCCAGCTCATGCCGAATGAGCTGAATCATTCAAGGATTGATGTATCTCTTTGAGGAAAGCTAGCTTTCCTGCATTTCCTGCACCTCAGGTTTTAATTCAGGTAAATTGCTTCCCCATTTATAGCTCTGAGACCTTTGGGACCAAACCTCATGAGTTCCATTTGCCAAGTGTGGCCCACATTTCACCTCTGTCTTTGATAATCTGAATGTCAGAATTATACTCCAGATTAAACTCTGTTAATAACCCCAAATTCAGAGCAAGCAAGGGCTAACATCAACTTTGATAATCATTTAATATTAAGTCAAGAAGTTCCATGACTGATATCACATGTGTATCAATTGCTGCACACATGGCTTACCCTTTATTTCAGCTCTCTGGATATCTGCAGTGACAAATTTCATGTCACTGACACCTAAAATGAGAAAAAATAGTTTTTTTAATTCACTGTACTGGGAATAATCTCTCAAACAAGCAATGAATGCATTTTATAGAAAATGAACCATATAAATATATACATATGTATAAAATTAGAAATTTAGTTTGTTTCTAGTTACTCTGTGTTGTTATATTCTATTCCTTAAAACATGGTTGAGAGACTCCTGGAACTGATTTCCTGACTCACTCAAAAGTTGAGACCAACAGTTTGATAAGAACTATAGATAGTGTGAAATTTGCAGAATGCTGCAGGATGCTGAAAAGTCCCTCTGGCAAATAACATTTATCATCATTGAAGACAATTATGAGGCCATAAACAAAAGACAATGCTCTAGAAACTACTGTTAAAAAAGCACACCTATAAGCTGAAGTGGCTGCTAGTACAGGCTCCCCAATTATGTGTGCCACCCCTGGCCCTTTCCTTGCTAATCAGTCATCATATTCTGTTTTCTTGAGCTTACAAAAGACTTCACATCCATTTTCAATGCTGCATCCCAGGCAGTGGCTACTGGTTCATTGTAAGTGGCCAGAAAAACAAAACGCAGTTGTCATCTGATTCCTAGTCCTTTCTTATGTTGATTTTAAGTAGTTTTTCAATTGACACTTCTAGATAAATGAGAAACTTTGGGCATAGCACAGAGAAGAGCCAGGTGACCACGAAGAATCTAAGGGGCCCCCATCGAGCTGGTGAGGGCTCTGGGTGTAGTGTTGAACTGTGCTACGAGAAACTTCACAATATTGACCGGTTCCAGAATGGAAGTATGGAAACACATTGGTGTCACTCCCCTCATCAGAAAACCAAAAGCAAATAGACAGTGTCATGATTAAAAATAGTAATAGCATAGAATCCAAGTATGAGGGTGAAACAGTTCCCAGGTCCATAGAGAAGTAAAAAGCTCTGAGCAGATGGTGAGAGAACTGGGCTTTCATATCTGTGACATTTCTCCCCCTAATCTGTACAACACCATGTAAGTGAAAAATTTTCCGAGACTCATATTTTCTACACGGGAAAAAGTGAGATAGAGGTAAACAACCAGCTTCCCATCCATCCTGGGTTTCCTAGCAGGAGACCTATTCCTGCCTCAACCCATAGGAAGCATTGGGAGTGCCTGAAGGAGAAACATCCCTGAGGGCAACCAAAGACAAAGTGGGGAAGATGGGACTGTCATTCCCAGCCTTGGAAACTCTGTGCTGTAACTTGGGCAGAGAAGACACCAAATCAGAGCAGCTGCTCACCAGCACCACACTGTGGGAGATATGTTCCACAGGTCCCCTGGGCATGAACCCCTAGCCAGCCTTCCCACCACACTGCTGGGATAGCCCCTTTATGACCTCCTTAATTCAGAATGGGCAGTACTCTAATCACTTACTAGAGTCAAGGCAAACATGGGCCTATGGCACTCTCTAGTACCTATAAAGAGGCAGCAACCTAGTGGAAAATAAAAAAGAAAGAAATTCAACAGATAAATTAGAAGGAATCTCTAAGCAAACATATCCAATAAAAACCAAAACAAGCCACGTAGAGAAGACTGGAAAAAAATAACTAATCCGTCAATACAAAGACATAGATGTAAATTCAGAATCCTGGAACTGAGAAATACATTTACTAAACTGAAAACTTTATTAGAGGCTCTCAACAGCAGAATGACTCAAGCAGAGAAAAGAGTCAGTGAGCCTAAAGACAGGCTATTTGAAAATACACAGTCAGAGGGGGAAAAAAAGGAACAAAAATCATGAACAAGTTATAGAAAATAACTTCAAAAGACTAACTCTAAAAATTACTGGAGATCAACAGGAAGCTGAGCAAGAACAAGGAATAGAAAGCTTACTCAAAGAAATAACCACAGAAAATGTTCCAAAACTTGAGAAAGATACAACTATTCGGGTACATGAAGGTCTGAGAACACCAAACAGGTTTGACCCAAATAAGACTACCAAAAGGCATGTAATCAGGCTCTTAAATGTCAAGAGTAAAGAGACAACCCTAAAAGTAGTGAAAGAAAAGAAACAGATAAAATATAAAGGAACTCAAATTCATCTGGAAAAAGATGTCTCAACAGAAACTGTAAAGGCTAGGAGTACGTGAGATGACATTTTCAAAGTGTGGAAGAAAAAAATGGCAATCAAGAATTGTTTATCTAGCAAAGCTATTCTTCAAGTATGAAGGAGCAGGTCTTTCCTAAACAAACAAAATCTTACAAGTGTTAAAAGCAAGGTCTTCCATCTAACACAAAACAAAAACAAAAACACTAATGTGCACAAAGAAGCATTTGAATGTATCAAATGAACTGTAAAAGTACATAGACAAACTCAGGATACTCAAACACTGTAACTGACATGTGAAATCCACTCATAATTCTAATATAAAACTCAAAAGACAAATCAATCAAAACCAGCAATAGCTACAGTGACCTGTTAAGAGACAGGCAACAAAAAATAGCTAAATTGAGATAACAACAAAAAGTTAAAACATAGGGAGGATTAAGTTAAAGTGTAGAAATTTTTTCTTCAGTATTTTGTTTGAGTCTATACTTTCTATTGCAATCTAAGATAAGCTGCCGTCTCTTTAAAATAACTTATTGTAAGATATTTGATATAAGCTTCATGACAGCCACAATGCAAAAACTTGTGATAGATACACTAAAAATAAAAAGCAATGAATTAAAGTGTACTACCAGATAAAATCACTCAATTGCAAAGGAAGATGATAAGAAAGAGAGAAAGGAAGAGAGGAGCTACAAAACAACCAGAAAACAAGCAAAAAACCCCCCAAAAACCAAGCAGTAGTAAGTCCTTATGTATCAATAATTATACTGAATGTAAATGGACTCAATTCTCCAGTTAAAAAAAAAAAGAGTGTCTGAATGAATAAATAAACAAGACCAAACTATGTAATTTACAAGAGATCTACCTCACCTGATCATGCCACTGCACTCCAGCTAGGTGACAAAACAAGACCCTGTTTCTAAAAAAAAACTCACTTATAAAGACACGTATAGACCAAAAAGTAAAGGGATGGAAACAGATATTCCATGCAAGTTGAAATAAAAAAAGAGCAGAAGTAACAATGCTTTTATCAGATAAAATAGCAACATGTCAAAGACTATAAAAATAGACAAAGTCACTATACAAAAATAAAGGTGACAATTCAGCAAGAGGATATAACAATTCTAGATATCTATGCACCCAACACAGAACACCGAGGTATATAAAGCAAATAGTAATAGATCTAAGGGGAGAGACAGACTGCAATATAATAATAGTGGGGAAATTTAATGCCTGCTTCTTAGTGATAGACGATCCTCTAGACAGAAGACCAACAAAGAAACATCAGAGTTAAATTACACACTAGACTAAATAGGCTAACTCACACCTACAGAACATTTTACCTAACAGCTGTTGCATACATATTCTTTTCATCAGAACATGGAACATTCTCCAGAATAGACCATATCTTAGGCCACAAACGAGTCTCAACAAATTCATGAAAGTAGAAATCATATCAAGTATCATTTCTGATCACCATGGAATAAAACCAGAAATGAATAATAAGAGGAACTTTGGAAATTACACAAATATATTGGAAATTAAACAATGTGTTCCTGAATAGAGTTTAAGGTGATGGATACCCCAATTTCCCTGGTTTCATCTTCACACATTATGTGAATGTATCAATTTATCACATGTATCCTGAAAATATGATTATCTATTAGGTATCAATTAAAAAATTTTAAAAACTGTACAGTATTGCCCCAAATGGCTCCATCCTGCATTCTGAGATTCCTGCTCCCCAAACTCTAATCAAACACAATTATTGTTTTGTGAAAATTGAGCTTGACAAATGAGCTGCCAGAGATGCTTATGCATGCTCCATAAGGATGCCAGATGTTTCTTCATTATCTATTTCATTCCAAGCCTGCTTTCCTTTTGATATCACTCTGATTTTGACCTTTCTACCCATAAATATGTTTTTCTTCAGGCTATCCCTTTATTTAAAACAACCCTCCCTACTTTAAAGATCCTCTCTCCTCATCTTGGGTAACTTTCAGGGCATGACTTTTGCGGGTAGACATTGCTACACATTTTATTTCAAGATTCCAAGGTTTTAAAACTTATTAATTACCTTATGAATGTCCATCAGCTTCATATTAACCACTTATATCTGCATACAATTCTAAGGAGGGTTAAGTTCCAGGGGTGTACAACATGCTGAAATATCTATAAATACTGCCTACTTATGTTTTTATGGTTTTGAGTTTATTTTGACGCTTGCCTTGGAGGCAGATTTTATATCATCTTCTTCTTTTGGTAAAATTTCTATATGGTAAAATGCAAAGAACCAAAATATTCAATTCAATAAATTTTGACGATTTACACAATCAAATAACAAATACCCGAAAAATATACAAGATATCTCCATTTTCTCAGAAATTTCCATTATGTCTCCTTTTTGCCCTCTCATAAGCAGACACTGATTTAATTTCTGTCATTATAGATGAGTTTTGCATTTTTTTGAACTTGATGTAAAAACCATAAAATTCCATGCATTAATTTTTATCTAGCTTCATTTACTTAGTACTTTTAAAATTTACTCATGTTGTTGTACAGAACAGGGCTTGTACTCTTTCATTGTTGAAAAATATTGATATCCATTCTCCTACTGAGAAATACCTGGGTTGTTTCAGTTTCTGGCTATTGTAAATAAAAATTCTAGCAAAATATTGTGCAAGTTTTTGTGTATGTCTGTGTTGACATGTTTTTATTTCTCTTGAGTAAATACGTAGCAGTGAAATTGTGACACGAGCTAGATCTATGTTTAACATTATAAGAAATGGCTGAATAGTTTCTAAAGTATAGCATTTTACACTCTCACCAGCAACATGGTAGAGTTTTAGCGCCATACATTTTTGCTAAAACTGAGTGTTGTCCATCTTCTGACTTTTACCTACTCTGGTTGTGTTAACATCTATTGGTATTACTCTTTCAGGGCATTAGTTAGCATAGGGAGTGTTGCATGGGAATCTAGCCCACTATATTGAAAGACAATATTCAGAGCTTAACACATTCATAAATATTAATGAGAAAGGCAGAAGTGGTAGCAGAAATGTTAAAATAAGTTTTTACAACCATAAGTGAAAATGCCTGTATGTCATGCCTTTATACCTCCCAAAATACTTGGTTATAGGGTAAAGCAGCCTCTACTGTTTCCCTCTCTTCTAACTCGGTAGAAGGTTAAGAGAGAAAAAAGTTATTTAGAATAATACACAATGTTTCCAGATGGATTTTACAAAGACAGAAGAACCTAATTCATGACTCGCATCTAAGATCTTGGAGATCTTGTATTCTCTGTTAAGGAATTTGCTGATCTTCTCGTCATCAAGTTCAGAGCAAATAACTGTTCTGAATTTAAAAAAAATAAAATTAGGTAAATTATTTGTGTCTTTTCTACAATTAGATTTAACTTCACTTAACTCACAAATATTGCACCTGATTACTTACATGCAAATTTTATCCCCACAGCTTTCATGTTAGACAGCAGTTTTCATACACAACAGGCTTCAGGAAGCCAGCTCTGATAGCTGCTTCCCCCTCACCCCGTCCTTCTTAGCAGCCTTGAGATGAGTCAGGAATCCTGCTTTCTTGTTCAACTTTCTCACATGTAGGTTTAGGAAGGATTAAGGCAGAAGCAAAGGTAATCATTGGAGTCCTCCTCCCTGGGGCTCTTCTCTCAAATCTTCCTGAGTTGTCTGTCTCAGCAGTGGGGTTTCCTTCCGTTCTCTCATCAGAGACATTCTTGACTCCCAACATTTACCATTTTCTAGTCTCTTTTTATCAAAAATATTCCCCAGATATATATTTCTTAGTATTTCTTCAGAGTATGCAGCATTTTCTTACATTTATAGTGTGTTAGAAATTCCTTGGACAAGCATAAAAATGTTGTTCATTACCATCTTGCCCCAACTTCTTCTTTTCATTTTTTCCTGTTGTTCATGTGGGTAGAGTTCAGCCACACCAAATTATTCACCTGTCACCAAATAGAACCCACCCTTTCAGACCATGGTGCATTTCCATGAGCAATTCTTTCTACTCACAGTGCCTATGGTGCCTTCCTTCTCTCACCCTCCCTACAAGCCTTGCATATGCCTCTGTGCTCTTCTCCCACGCTAGCTACGCTGTGATGCCTCTCCCCTTGAGTGGGCCCGTTTAGCTCGTTGCTCCCTCTGCTCCCAAGCCCTCTCATGTCACTTTCTCATTCACATACAACTTCCTATAGTCAATGTAGTTTAAATTCCAGCATCCTACACTACCATCTCATTCAGTGGTTAGGCTCCAAACTGAACTGCATAAAGTGAAACGTAAAGTGAAAATAATAGAAACACAAAACTAATGATGAGAATCCACTAGGAACCTTTCCTACTCGACTTTGCCATACTAACCCTCAGTTATTTAATACACTAATAAATCCAGTACTGACCTCATTTTGAGTCTTTGAAATGAAGAGTAGCAGGTGTCATGTTCCCTACTTAGACACAAGGAATCAGGTTTTAGGAACCCTACTAACTTGCTGTAACTTCACTCAGTTATTTATCGAGTCATAGAAATAGATTGTGAAGCCAAGTGTTTATATCTTAAGGCTTTTGTGCCAAACTATTTTTTGGTTCAAAACAATTAGAGGACTTGGACTTACAACAAGGAAAATATTTATAGACAAATAAGGCAAAAGTATAAATGCTAAAAAATTATGAAAACCCTCAAAGATCTTCAGTGTTGCTAATTTGTATTCAAATGTTGTAGGGAATCTGTGAAGGTACATAATTTCTACCTTTGAATTACAAGAAACATATAATTAATACCTTTATGTTAAAATAACTAAATACATGTTTGAAGAGAGAGATCTGGAAGAAGCCTTCTTCTTACATGGTTACATCAAGATAGTTCTGACTTGGTTCTACTAATAAAGGGGACATGAAAAGCAGCAAAAGGAGAGAGACATTTCCTAATTCAACCACAATTTCAACTTAAGATTTTAAAATTTTCAAGTACTGAGTTTTTTGTTCATATTTCTATTTGCCTTGTATATCTGGCTTAAGCCACTGATTCTCCTTGAGAAGTAAGAACACATTTCTTTGGGAAGCTATGGGAAGGCAAACGATTGCTTGACCCCAAACACAAATATGAACTGTGTATTCCAAAGTTTAAATCTTCAAAGTAAAAGAATCATTGTGATTTAGTCAATAGCATCTTTTGAAAAGAGCTAAATGCTTCAGAACTTTCTCCAGAAGACACAATCAGTGTAACTTCAAATAGTTACCCAGTAGAAAAAGAACAGCATTTAATAACCACATAGAAGACACAGTTACGGGATAAAGGAAAGATGGAATTGAATCTGATCAGCACCCAGGTGTGACAGCAGGGCCATGAAATTATCAACTACAGGCAAGTGCAGTGCGACTGCAATACTAAGCGCTGATGCTGGAGAACACAGCGGGGCAATACTGAGATTGAAGAAAAGAAGGTAATTTACACTCTGTACAGAGATAAAACTCAGCAAAAGCATGCCATAGAGTTCCAGGAGTATTTACTGAGAAGATTCATCACAAGCTAAGGAAGAAATCAGAACGGAAAAGGATGCTGAGAAAAGGGAACAACTTTCAAGGACAAAAGCTAAAGATAAAGAAAATGTTAAAGATAATTTTAAAACATTTTGACTTGTTGTTTTTGTTTATTTTACAAAATGCCCAAGTGAAAAAAAATTCCTCTTACAAACTAGTACGATGGAGTATTAAAATTTCTTATATTGGACATCTGTTAAAAAGGCATTTTGGCAAATAAGGGAATCGTAGCTAAGGATTAGAATTTCTATTATTATCTAACTTTATTTGTTTAAGGGAAACATCATTTGGAAGCTGTCAGTCATGATGCCGCAGAAAAACACTCTCACCGGTGCTCTTCAGACACCACGCTTGGCTAATTTTTGTATTTTTAGTAGAGACGAGGTTTTGCCACATTGGCCAGGCTGGTCTTGAATTCCTGACTTCAGGTGATCTGCCCGCCTTGGCCTCCTAAAGTACCGAGATTACAGGTGTGAGCCATTGTGTCAGGTCAGTAATTTATATTTCTATCATTTCTAATTGGTTTTAAATGATGCAATAAGCCTTTCTGGTTTCTTGAGTCCAGGCTTATTTCTCTCCATGACCCTTGATTTGTGTTTGGTATTTTAGCTGTGTCTATTTCCTGTTGCATAACACTCTGGATGTTTCCTATGGATTTGATCATTTCTTCTTTTGTAAATTTTATCTTCACCAAATATTTATTTAAAAATGTGTTGTCACATTTCAGATTTTCTGCATTTCATAAGCTTTTTCTTAACGAGTAAATGAGGCAAAGCATAATGCACACTTAGCAGAATTCTTGGTACATAATATGTGCTTAATAAATGCTCTTTTCTTTGATTCTTGGTAATAATCTTCATATAATTCTTAATGGGTAGGTTTAATTATGTTCTCATTCTGAACCTACATTACCCGGTTGCAGCATTCCATACACAGAGCATGTCGGTTTTGAAACTGTCTTCCATTCCTCGCTGACTTTCACACAGCGCTACTCTGCTCATTCTGAGCACTCGCTTCCACCTTGCACACTGGCAGCCGCACACATTGGGAGGGCCCTTATTCATGTATCTGTGTTTATAGGCTCTCTTTGATACTCACGTTATATTCTGTCTAGATGCCATATTTATTTACATAATCATACTTATGTAATTATATATTAATTACAATTATATGTTTATAAATTTTATGAAACTTGGTGAAAACTAGATTATCCATAGCCTCTTCCCAGTCTCTGCATTGCAGCTGCCCTTCTAATTTCGCTCCCATTTCTTGGAAGATCTTCCATGCTGACTGGATGTATTCACTTCCTGTCTGTAACTCCTATAGTATTTGTTGGAATTTCTCACTTGATACTTCCCTTGCTATCTTTATGCATCATATCCTATTTATACCAGCCAAGTCTCTGGAAAGAAGGAAAGGTATTGTGTTTGTCTAATCACAGTCACTTGGTCTAAAAGGTATTCAGGCCCTTTGTTTTGTGAGAAACTGAATACCTGTAGAAAAATTTGAATCATTCTTACTTATGGATATGGTGTAGGTATGCTGTAGGTCAGGGCTTTTTTTTTTCTTTTTTTTGAGACAGAATCTCACTCTGTTGCCCAGCTGGAGTGCAGTGGCATGATCTCAGCTCACTGCAACCTCTGCCTCCCAAGTTCAAGCTAGTCTCCTGCCTCAGCCTCCCTAGTAGCTGGGTCTATAGGCACCCACCACCACGCCTGGGTAATTTTTGTATTTTGAGTAGAGATGGGGTTTCACCATGTTGGCCAGGCTGGTCTCAAACTCCTGAGTAGGTCAGGTTTTTAAAGCCAAGTTCTAGAGCTAAAAGCGAGTCTGTGTACTCCTACAGAGTCCACAGACAAGCCATGTAGTTGAGAAACGAGGTGACAAAGCCAAACAATGGGTAGGAATGAGATAAACCGGCGTTCACGCTGGCACATGAAATGAACTTGAAAGTCCCGGGATTCCACGGAAGATGAAGATTCTCAAAATTAAGTTCAAACACACCCAGATTGGTAGATGTCAGAGTTGGAGAAGAGAAACACTGAACTTGGCCAGAAGAAAATCCAAAGCAGAGGTGAGAAGAGCCATGCGTCTTGCTGTGTCCCAAAATGTGATAAGTTCATACAGAAGCCATTTGTCTCTGACAATTTTTTTTCTCTAGAATTCAAAGGTAGGGTTTTCCTGAACCGATTTGGCTGGAATGCGCAGTGTCACACTGCCCAGATTTTACTCTCTGTTCATAGAGACGCAGGTGTATTGAACGGATTAGACAGTATTATGACATTCATTATAAACCAAGTGGCTCTCTTTGAGGCTCTTCAGACACAGCTGTTCATCCATAGAGCCCCGCTGCCTTACACAGGCACACACACGTTTGCGTGTGCCTAGATGATGAACTTTATAGGTACGGCCTCTCTCCCTACACTGTAGGAGAGGACAGAGTGAGTGGAAAGAAGGATTCATCTCCTGCATTCCACTTCACGAAAAGATCATTAGCTTGAAAACCAAGGGCTGTTCAGTGCTCCAGGCATTCGTCTCCCATCACTCCTGTGACCTCCATAAAATCACACTTACATTTCAAGATCAGTTTTTTCCAGTTTTGTGGTTGGATATGAAGTAGCTGATACACCCATCTAGCTGTGCACTTTACAAGTCGTAAGAACAGCGGTGGATTCCATTTCTTTCTATTCCTGGTATTGATAAATCATCAGTTTCATCTTCATACCTGACTGAGAACTTTTCATGGCTAGTTTCCCTGGCTGAGCTCACAGAGTGCTAGCAGACGTCCTCCCCTGCTCTGGGTTTATCACCACCCGACACCAATTTCTGTTGCTAAACTTCTCAGCTCACCACTTCCCCATCCCGTCCTCACAAAAACCTTCCACTAGTAGAAGCTCCACTTTATTTTGCTATAATTTTCAATATCTTGTCCTTTTCATTTCCACATCCTACACTTATTTGGATATACATATTTGGAGAGATTTATCTGTTTTGTTCAACACCTGCTAAGACGTTTTTCAAGATTAGCCCATAATGTAGCTCATATTTTGGCAAGGTTGAAGAGTTCTTCTAAGAATGTAGTATCTTTCCTTGCATTCTTGTACTTTATCTTGGCTCTTGGTCATGCCTAACATGTCATGCATTTTCTCACCCTAACACAAAGCTTCTATGTAACCCATAATCATTATCTAGGTTAACAATTCTGCCCCAGATATCCTATTGTATTTCTCCTTAGTGAAGATTTGAAAGCTTTACATCTATAAGTCTCTTTAGTTTGTTTTTTTGATGATTTCTATAAATTATACACACTTTATTTTGATGAAAAAGTGCAAATGATTAGAAAGACAAGTAGTTGGGTAGGCCCACCGGTAAGCCATGGCCACGTTGGTGGAATGTATTTGAGGAGTGTGTTTATGAATGGCTCTGTGCATGTGTGCGTTTCAGGAAGGAGACTGGTGCAGCCTGTACATATGCAGAGCTGTATATTGTGTCTACAGTTGATACATTTCTTCTTACATTCACCAGCTGTGCTGTGATAACTGCCGGAACTCCAGGTAACTATATTCTTCAGACAAATTTCCAAGGTTCAAGGTTGCAGTTTATAAACTATATCATCCAATCACCTATTTTGTGGGTAGTCTAGTTTTTGCCAAGTTTTATAACATTTATAAATATATAATTACTTTTCTTTTCTTTTCTTTTTTTTTTTTTTTTTTGAGATGGAGTCTTGCTCTGTCCCCCTGGCTGAAGTACAGTGGCGTGATCTCGGCTCACTGCAACCTCCGCCTCCCAGGTTCACACCATTTTCCTGCCTCAGCCTCCCGAATAGCTGGGACTACAGGTGCACGCTGCCACACCTGGCTAATTTTTTGTATTTTTAGTAGAGATGGTGTTTCAGTGTGTTAGCCAGGATGGTCTCGATCTCCTGACCTCGTGATCCGCCCGCCTCAGCCTCCCAAAGTGCTGGGATTACAGGCAGGAGCCACTGTACCCAGCCGACTACAGTTTTTTTTAAAAGATATATTTTTAAGCACAAGATTTATTAATTTATAAATTGTGCCTCTCGTTTAAGATTCTGATATCAGGGTTTTGAATGTTAACAGGCCATCATTGCCTGGCAGAAATATAATTTACTATAATTCAATTTTATTTTTACAAACATCTCTTGTTGATAGTTGATTATGCTTCTGTGAAGAGATTTTAGAATCCGATTCTATAAACCTGAGGTATTGTGTTTTATTATTGGCCCACATTATCTTTAAAGAAACACAGCTTATAAGCAGCTTATTTAATTAAAATAAACTTTCACTTTGTTCCCTACCTGCTTCAGTGAGCACATTGAGTCTTTTGTATAATACAATGACAAGGATCATATTTTTCACCATATCTGGCTTTTTTCGAAGGTCTTTTTGTTCAGTCATTTATCTTTCCAAAGACCTGGACACTCATAAGTATCCTAATTATTGAAAACAAAACTATTAATAGTTTTCTTTATTAAGGGTACACCAGGTCAATTACAGAGCAAATCACTTTTATCTAAAAAAACACAAGTTTTCTGAAAGTAATAAATCTGCAGATAACTTTTAGAGAGATGAGGAATTGATACAAAAAAATGACTTCTGAAATTTAAAATAACTAATTTGAAACACATTGCTAAATTACTCCTCCCAAAATGAAGACTCCTGAAATTTAAATAATTGCTTTAATGGAGATGAGTAGTAAATGCCAAAGTGAAATGAGAAGTGTATTTTTAGAGACTCTAACCTGTCGGAGATTACATACTAGAAGCACATATTTTGCCTTTGATTGCTGCAGACACAGGCATCCTTTTGAGACCTTTAACAATTCACATTGACTGTCACTTTTCCAGATAAACATACGCAAAACATTTGCTGCAGCAAACCTTGAGATCATGCTAAAACATATAAATCAAACAATTAACACATACCAAGTCATCATATTTTCCCCTTTTAAGAATTAGTCGCAGTAGCCTTTTAGCTATAAACTGTGTTATCCTAAAGTTTCACATAGAAAGTAATCAAGAGACCAAGTTTTCCTAAGATTTCATATGATCCTGTAGCAGAACTGTATAGATTCAAGACAGTGACTGTTATTATTAAAAATAACATATCTTTAGTTAGAGTTAACATGACTGTCTAACAAATCATCCAAAGTGTAATGGCTTAAAATAGTGACAAAATTTATTTTTCTCACAAATCCTCAGTTTGGGAGGGACTCAGGGGAACTGTTTGGCTCTGCTCCACATGGTGTTGGGTGGAGCTTCTCAGAGTCTGGGGCTGTCATCATCTACCGGCTCGTTATCTCATCTGTCTAGCACTTGGCTCTTGCTGTGGCAGGGACCTTACCTGGTGCTATTGGTCAGAACACCCACACATGACCTCTCCGTGTGGTCTGGACATTCCTGCAACGTAGTGCCTGGCCTTCAAGAGCAAGTGGGAGACAGAAAGAGCTGGGCAAAAGCGGCATTGGTTTTATGACTTAGCTACAGAAATCACAAAGCATGAGATGCGCCATAACAGTCATAATTCCCACCCAGATTCAAGGGGAAGAAAACAGACCTCAGCTCTCCACAGGACAGGTGTTGGTCATATTATAAGAAGAACACGTGGGGTAGGTTATCAATGTGGATGTGGGTGTTTGTGTTTGTGTGTGCTTGTGTATCCATGCACATGTAGGAACACACAGACACATATGTGAAAACATTTCAGGGATGCAACTTGTCACTCTTGGCCTCATTTCAATTCCAGTGGAAATATAAGATTTTAATACCTTGTGGAAACTGCTGGAACTCTCTTCAAGAAGCTGACCTTACTCCAAGAGCAACTGAACAAGTTGGGTAGGCACTACCAGCGAGGACCCCTCCATAAACCCTTAGATTCTGTCAGTACTGAAGGAGAAAACTCCAATTAAGAGTGGGAGAGTACCATACCATGAAAGCAGAATAGTAAAAACTGTTGTTCCTGCCAGCCCAGCATCCTTTTTTTTTCAAATATGTATCTATTTACTTTTGAGGAAGCTGTGGCTTCCACAGGCATTTATGATATCTCTTGGTTCTTGTGATTTTTACTGATACATGCCTAACCAAAAAGATTATTTCATCCCCCATGGCCATAGTGATGGACTTAGCAAAAAGTTACAGCCAATGTTTATTATCATTGGGAGTTTTGCTCAAATTTGGGAAAAATATAAACATTTCTATTGCAACAATCAAGTAAGATGTAAGCCTGTGTTGCTACTGAAATAAATGCATACAGAAAATAGCAAAGATGAACAGAAACAGGTACCTTATGCATCATTTGAGCCTTTAGAAATAGCAAAGGTAACCTTCTAGTAATGTGGGCAAATTTATCCCTTTTTTCTTACTTCTCTGTTTATTAACTCAGTCAACTGGGTTTCTGTCAGTTATAATTGAGGACCCCAAATAAATACTATGTGGGTGTTAAGAAGTTTAAAGAAAACAGATGTTTTCACAGTGGAAATAGAATTAATTGCATTCCACAAACAGCAAAATAGCAAAAAGGCAGATGCAAGTCCAGCCATGTCAATGACTACATTAGATGTAAATAGAATCACTTCAATCAAAAGGCTGATATTGTCAGATATCATCTGACAATAACATCCTTTATTGGCATATAACAGATAACATCTACAATTAAGGCAGATAATATCTACAATTAAGAACCTCTCTATTTATTTTAGCTAGACAACCTACAGTATAGAAGAAAATTTTTTCAATCTATCCATCTGACAAAGGGCTAATATACAGAATCTACAAGGAACTTAAACAAATTTACAAGAAAAGAACAAACAACCCCATGAAAAAGTGGGCAAAGGATACGAACAGACACTTCTCATAAGAAGACATGTATGTGGCCAACAAACATATGAAAAAAAGCTCATCATCACTGGTGATTAGAGAAATGCAAGTCAAAACCACAATGAGATACCATCTCATGCCAGTTAGAATGGCAATCATTAAAAAGTCAGGAAACAACAGATGCTGGAGAAGATGTAGGGAAATAGGACCGCTTTTACACTGTTGGTGGGAGTGTAAATTAGTTCAACCGTTGTGGAAGACAGTGTGGAAATTCCTCAAGGATCTAGAACTAGAAATACCATTTGACCCAGCAATCCCATTACTGGGTATAGACCCAAAGGATTATAAATCATTCTACCATAAAGACACATGCATACGTGTGTTTACTGCAGCACTATTCACAACAGCAAGGACTTAGAACCAACCAAATGCCCATCAATGGTAGACTGGATAAAGAAAATGTGGCACATATACACCATGGAATACTATGCAGCCAGAAAAAAGATGAGTTCATGTCCTTTTCAGGGACATGGATGAAGCTGGAAACCATCATTGTCAGCAAACACAGGAACAGAAAACCAAACACCGCATGTTCTCACTCATAAGTAGGAGTTGAACAATGAGAACACATGGACTCAGGGAGGGGAACATCACACACTTGGGCCTGTTGGGGTGTAGGGGGCAAGGGGAGGGATAGCATTAGGAGAAATACCTAATATAAATGACGGGTTGATGGGTGCAGCAAACCACCATGGCACATGTATACCTACATAACAAACCTGAACGTTCTGCACATGTATCCCAGAACTTAAAGTATAATTTTTAAAAAGGAAAGAAGAGCAAATTAAATGCAAAGCAAGAAAGAAGAATTAGTAAAGATTATACAGAAGAAAAAAACATAATAAATCAATAAAATCAAAAGTTGTACATTTAAAATATCCACAAAATTGACAGACATTTTGTAAACTGACAAAAAAGAGACGACACGAATTAACTAAATCAGAAATGAAAGACTGGATGCTACTACTGATGTCACAGAAATTAAAAGAACTTTAAAGGAATAATATGAAAAACTGTATCAAGACAAATTAGACAACTTAAATGAAATGAACAAATTCCTAGAAAGACACAAGTTGCTAGGACTAACTCAAGAAGAAATAGAAAATATGAATAGAACTAGAACTATAAAACATAAAGAAATTCAGTTAAGATTTAAATTTTTTCCCAAAAAGAAAACTCCAGGCCTGTCACAGAGGAATTCAATCAAACATTTAAGAAACAATACCAATCTTTCACAAACTCCTCCAGAAAACACAAGTAGAGGGAACACTTCTCAACTTATTCTATGAGTCTCATATTTAATAACAAAAACCAATGGCATCTCAAGGAAAGAAAACTACACGCAAAGATCTCTCATAAAGGTCAATGCAAAAATTCATGACAAAATACTAGCAAGCCAAATTTAGTAAAATATTAAAGAATTATACATCATGATCAAGAATGGTTTATATTAGAAATGTGATTTTTATTTGAATTAAAATTTAGAAATTCAATTAACTTAAGACACTATATTAATTAAACTAAGGGCATAATCCAAATGATCATCTTGATAGATGCGAAATCATTTTACAAAGTCTAACACATATTCCATATAAATCCAACACTCATTCATTGTCAAATCTCTCAACAAGCTATAAGTAGAAGGGAAATATTTCAATATGATAAAGGACAGTCAAAAAACCTACAACTAATATCATACTTCATGGTAAAAGAATTAATGTGTCAGCCCTAAAATTAGAAAGAAGGCCAGCACACTGACTTGCCACTTTTATTGAACATTGTACTTGCTAGAAGTTCAATAGGTACAAAAAGGCAATTGAAGGAAGTAAGGGCCGTTCAGACCGTGAGGAAATTCATCAAAGTGTTTTTATTCCCAGACAATATGATCCTCTAGGTAGAAAAACCTAAGCAATTTACAAAAATGCTACAGAAAATAATAAATAGGTTTAGCAAGTTAGGTGGATTCAAGCAGTGTACCAATGTCAACAAATGTCTATATATTACCAATATATAACATAAAAACAAAACTAATGTACAAATCCATTCCTAATGGCATAAAAATGTAATATAAGTAGTATAAGATTTGTATCTGAAAAATACAAATCATTGCTGGGAGAAATGAAAGAACATTTTTAAAAAGAGAAACACCTTACCACAGCCAGAATGTCCATTACTCAAAAGTCAGAACAAACCAAAACAGCATATTGGGTTGGATGTGGTGAGAAGGGAAAAATTAGACTCTACTGATGGGGATGGAAATTGGTACAACCCCTATGGGAAATAGTAAGGAGATTTCTCAAAAAACTGAAAGTAGATTCACCACTGAATCCAGCAATCCCATTGGTGGGTATCTAGCCAAAGAAAAAGCAGTCATGATATAAAAACAACAACAACAAAAACAAAAACCCACACACACCTGCCTGTGTAGATTTATTGCAGGATAATCCACAATTGCCAAAATATGGAGCCAATCTAAGTGCCCACGAACTGATGAGTGGATAGAGAAAATGTGGTAGAAGTACACCATGAAATACTATTCAGCCATTTAAAAAAAGAACAAAATAATGTCTTCTGCAGCAACTTGGATGGAGCTGGAGGCCATTATTCTAAGTGAAGTAACTCAGGAATGGAAAAGCAAATACTGCATGTTCTCACTTGTAAGTGGGAGCTCTGCTCTGGGTACATAAAGGCATACGGAGTGTTCTAATGGACACTGGAGACTCAGAAGACAAAGTGGGAGGGAGTGACAGATTTTTTAAAAACCTACATATTGGGTACAATGTGCGCTACTCAGGTGACGGGTGCACTAAAATCTCAGACTTCGCCACTATACAATTTATCCATTTAACCAAAAACCACTTGCACCCTGTTCATAGTTTGGAAAACTCAATATTGTGAAGGTGACACTTTATTCCAAAATTGATCTATAGATTCAACACAATCCCTTATTAAAGTCCCTGCAGAGTTTTTGTTTTTGCTTCTGCTTTTGTTTTTGCAGAAATTTACAAGCAGAGTCTAAAATGTATATGGGAAGGCCATCAATTTTCTAAAAGACTATCCTTTCCCTCTTATACCTTAGGTATACATCTATAGATCAATGTCTAGAAACAAATCTTTCCATTTATATTAAATTTATCACAAAGATGCCAAGGCAATTTAAGGTGGAAAGGTCAGTCTTTTAGAAAACTGATGCTGAGACAATTGAATATTCACATACAAAAATATGAGTTTATACCCTTACTTCACATGAACTCAAAGTGGATCATAGACCTAAATGTAAGTATTAAACTATAGAACTTTTAGAAAAACACATAGGTGGAAATCTTTGTAACTCTGGGTGAGGTCAAGAATTCTAAGATACGATGCCAGGTGCAGTGGCTCAAGCCTCTAATCCCAGCACTTTGGGAGGCTGAGGCGGGTGGATCACTTGAGCTCAGGAGTTCGAGACCAGCCTGAGCAATATGGCAAGACCATGTCCCTTAAAAAAAATAATTCTTTTTTTGACACCAAAAGCATAACCAATAAATGGAAAAAAAATTGGATGTTATCAAAACTTAAAATGATTATATGTCAAAGGACACTATTAAAAGACACTATCAGGAAAACAAAAGGAAAAGTCACAGATTAAGATGAATTATTTGCAAATTATATTTCAGATAAAATATATTTTTTCTGGAATTTATTACAACTTTTACAATTCAACAATAAGAACACAAAAGTCCCAATGGGAAAATGGGCCAAAAATGTGAACAGACACTTTACCAAAAATGGTATATGAATTCCTAATAAATAAAGATATTCTCAATATAATTTGTTATTTGGGACATGAAAATTAAAACCACAATGACATCCTGATTAACATGAATGAAAGTAGCTATAATAAAAGTGATAAACAATGACAAATGTTAGAGTGAGGGTATGTAGAAACAGTCATCTTCATGCATTGCAGGTGGGAATGTAAAAATGGTACTGCCATTTTGTAAACAGTTTGACAGTTTTATAAAAAGTTAAATATAGGCCGAGTGTGTTGGCTCATGCCTGTAATCCTAGCACTTTGGGAGGCCGAGGCGGGTGGATTGTCTGAGCTCAGGAGTTCAAGACCAGCCTGGGCAACATGGTGAAACGCCATCCCTACTAAAATACAAAAAATTAGCCAGGTGTGGTGGCGTGGGCCTGTAATCCCAGCTACTTGGGAGGCTGAGACAGGAGAATAGCTTGAACCTGTTAGGTGGAGGTTGCAGCGAGCTGAGATTGTGCCATTGCACTCCAGCCTGGTGATCAGAGTGAGACTCCATCTCAAAAAAAAAAAAAAAAAGTTTAAATATAAATTTATCACAGGACCAAGCAATTCCACTCCTAGGAATTTACCCAAGACAAATGAAAATAAACATCCACACAAAGGTTGTATTCAAATATTATAGCATTATTCTTAATAAACAGAATATGAAAACAATTTATATGTCCATCAACTAATGAATGGATAAACAAAATATGTATATTCATGCCACAAAAATTTTGCAATAAAAAAAGAAGTACTGATACATGCTATCACATGTTTTGAGATGAATCTCAAAAACATTATGCTAAATTAGAGAAGCCAGATGCAAAAGCCCACATATCCCATGATTCAATTTAATGAAAGTCCAGAGGGTTCCATCCCTGGAGTCAGAAAGTAGCTAGTGGGGTGTGGGTGGGACTAGGGATTGCACACACCGCCAAGAAGAATTTTCGGGGAGTGATAATGGAGATGTAGTAAAATTTGATTTGGGTAATGGTTGCACAACTCTTTAATTTTATTAAAAATAAGTGCCTTATAAAATTAAAATGTTGAATTTTATAATACATATATTAAAACATATATATAGTACCTCAATAAGTGCTTCAAAAATTTTTGTAACAAGTTAACTATATTTAAGTACCAAAAAGTAAATAAAATGATAGGACATACACCATATTTTGCCCATTGAGAAGAAAACACCAAGGAAAAGCCTTAAGAAAACACAGTGCCTCTGTGAGATGCATGACTTACTTTGTCTTCTGTGTAAAAATTAATTAGAAACATACTCTAGCAAACCTATTTGACTACTTACAATGATGTTATTAAAATGGCAAACTACTTTTTCTCTGTTTATTAGAAGAGAAATTGTTTTATAATATTTTGCTTAAAATAAATCACTCCAATTGTTTCAAATCTGTTGTAGTTTTGACATTATTTCCCTCAAGTGTTTAATTTCTGCTGAGAGTTTAATTGCTAATGTAATAATTTTAAATATAGTGAGATACTTTATATAGCATATAATTAAAGTATATAAATTGTGAACTGAATTTCACATAGCCAGAATTACCATAACACTACATATTCTCTTTTATATTTTATAAATTTACAACTTACAAAACACTTATGCAATTTACTGATCAGTTACTTTGCATCCGAAAAAAACCTAGTCTTTGAAAATTCATTAAGAATAAAATAAACAATAACGTATAAATTTGTGAAGCCTAATTCTAGAAGAAGATTTATTTCATGTTCTTTTCAAAAGTTACCTGTTAGAATTTGTCTTAAGTGGCCAATTGATGAAATGATAAAATTTTTTAAAAAATTTATTTGCCTCATTTCTGTATTCAGAACCACATGCAACTCTGTTTCTACTGTATGATTATTATTTTTTAAACCATTAAATTCAATGCCATGTAGGTCACTATGAAGACATTTGTGGAAAAATCACACGTGCATTTTTGTCAGTCTCATAACAAGGTGTATTAGTCTGTTTTGACACTGCTAATAAAGACTATCCAAGACTGGGTAATTTATAAAGGAGAGAGGTTTAATGGACTCACAGTTCCACATGGCTGGGGAGGCCTCACAATCATGGCGGAAGGCAAAGGAGGAACAAAGGCACATCTTACATGGCAGCAAGCAAGAAAGTGTGTGCAAGGCAACTGCCCTTTATAAAACCATCAGATCTTGTGAGACTTACTATCAAGAGAAAAGCATAGAAAAAACCCACCCCCATGATTCAATTACGTCCTCCAGGATCCCTCCCACAACACATGAGGATTATGGGAGATACAATTCAAAATGAGATTTGGATGGAGACACAGACAAACCATGTCACAAGGGTTCACAGGATATTACTATCTAATTTCTGGTGAGTTGAGGACACTATTTTTCAATCTGTGTGAGGGATCTTTACATGAACTCAAGTTTAGTTGATGTTCACCATATACGTGAATTTAAGTGTCTGTAGCCTACAGTCTTTCAAACAGAAGCACTACTATGTCACTTCAAGTGTGACAGACATTAGGGACATGACAATGCTGTGTCCTGAGACAAGACAGAAAAGCTATCCTTTAAAGTTACAGGATACAGTATAACATGACTAAGGATTTCTATGAAGATGGAGAAGTGAGCACTTCTGGAAAAACCTGGAGTCACTAGTGAGATTGAGGGATGGCAGGCAAGGGGAGAATATCTGGAATTCCTTAAAAGAAACCCTTGAGTCATCAAGAAAGGACAATTAGCCAACAACAGTAGAGAAATATCTTAGCAGATGGGGCAGCAGAAATATACACATAGGCAGAAAGTGATGAGTAGCCCATGAGTAATAGATCATTAACATCAAGTCTCTACCTGCAAGAGTTTAACAAACAAAAAATTGGTAAAAAAAATTATCAACAAAGTAGTATATGTATGAATATGATATAAGATGTTCATGATTGTCTATCTCTATAACAATTTTTATTTGCTACTAAAGAATGTGGCCTTTGTAAACTTAAAATAAAAATTCATATTTTGTGTCCAAATAGCTGAAAATAATATTTAATAACAAAAAGTAATTTTTAACTAGACCATTTAATTATTATCTTTACTCAACTGCTTATTTTACCATTAAAAAGAATAGTAAAAATCAAGACAATCTCCA
This sequence comes from Homo sapiens, assembly GCF_000001405.40. Classification (NCBI taxonomy): domain Eukaryota; kingdom Metazoa; phylum Chordata; class Mammalia; order Primates; family Hominidae; genus Homo; species Homo sapiens. Next base: position 93,144 of record NW_025791773.1, read on the forward strand.
GAATTTTGAGAAAGCAGGCTTTTTCTGGAAAAAAAATTGTAAAGTCCTGTTTCTCAGTGCTGTAAGAGTACCTATTACACTACATCGTCATAACACAGAACACATACTTTAAAACTTCACTGCCATTTTAGTAGATGGAAATATTACCACTGTGTTGCTTTAATATTATCTCTTTGATGATCATAAATGGAAGCTTTTTCATATGGTATTAGCCATATGACTTTCCTCCATGTTTGATATCTCTATTGATATCCTCCACCAGTGATTCACTTGGAGTCTTAATGGTTTTTTATTCCATTTGTGAGATGTTGTTTACACCCCTGTTTTGGAAAGGGGTGTACAGTTTGAATGAACACTTCCTGTTTTGAGTTTATTAATCATTCCCCCAAATTTATGCTAGTTTATTTGACTTTTAATTTTATTGTTTTGCAAACTACCCAAAGTTCATTTTAACTGCGTAGTAGATATGGAGAGACAGTAGAGCATGATGGTTAAGAAAGTGTATTCTACATGGGACAGTAAAATCCTCTCCACCCTTTACCTTTGACCCAGGCCCTCTACTCCTTCTAATGAGGGTCAAGAACACAGCTAGAAAATCAGGGAGAAGGCAAACTATTCCCCAAGCCACTACAAATACCATTTCTGACACCTTATTTCAGCTGCACAATTGTATTAGTCTGTTTTCAAGTTGCTGATAAAAACATACTAGAGACTGGGTAATTTATAAAGAAAAAGAGGTTTAATGGACTCAGTTCCACATGTCTGGGGAGGCCTCAGAATCATGGCAGAAGTTGAAAGGCACACCTGGCATGGTGGCAGGCAAAAAGGGAGTGAGAACCAAGGGAAAGGGGCTTCCCCTTATAAAACCAACAGATCTCGTGAGAATTATTCACTACCATGAGAACAGTATGGGGGAAACCACCACCATGATTCAATTATCTCCCATCAGGTCCCTCCCACAACACGTAGGAATTATAGGAACTAAAATTCAAGATGAGATTTGGGTGGGGACACAGGCAAACCATAGAAAAGATTTTGCCCGAGAACTAGATGTGAATAGAAATTTTAATTCACAATCATGTTTGAAGCGTGATTATTACACAGCATTGAACTGCATTATTACTGAACTAAAACTGTGTTTGCAATGCACAGGTCACCATACCATGGGATACTACTCAGCACTGAAAATCGATGAGCATGCAGTAGTAGGGATGATTCTCACATGAAAGAACTGTGGAGTCCTATTTAGGGAAGAGGAGTCAGGCTGGAGGGACCAAGAGAAAGCAAAAAGAGAAAGCAGATAACTTAGAAGTCTGCCTTTCTTCCTGGTCCAGGACACATAGCCCTCCTGTGCAAATAACTCACAATCTTTCTGTGCTCAGCCATCACCAGACCCTTCACTGACAGAAAATGACAAGTTAGCTTACTACAACCCTGGTGTTATCAGTACTACGCAAAGCCCTCTTCAGCATACAGCAAAAGCACCATCCTATAAAACCTCACAGCAAACCTTTGTCTCTTGGCAGTTAGATCCTCTCTCGCCAACTTCCCCATCGCTCCCTTGCAACATATTTTCCTATGTTCTCTAATAATATGCCTTTCTTTAGTTGCAACTATCTTGGTAAATTCTACTTACTCCCAAACCACTGACCCCAGGTAGTTGCTGATGGCCTGCAGCCGAAGCTAGATTCCAAAAGCTACACACTGTATGAATATAGCTACAGAAGATATCTCGGCAAAGACCAAATTATGGAGCTGAGAAACCAAACAGTGATTATCAGGAGCTGGGAATGGAGACAGAGGTGGCTTGCAAAGATGTAAGATGAAAATTTGGGGTGGTGATGAAACTGTTCTATATTTTGGTCTTGGTAGTGGTTACATGACTATACACATTTTTTAAGATTAACAGAATTGTATACTACAAAGCATGAATTTCACCACCAGTAAATTATACCTCAATAAAAAAAAAGAAAAAGAAGTTTGGTAGAGTTACACGGGATAAAAATTGATATGACCAGTGAGGAAAAGAAAAAATAACAGTCTCTGACATTCAGAAGCTGGCTTGGCCCCAAAAGCCATTCTTCTATTAAACACAAAAAATGTCACAGAATAATATCTTCAGACATGGCTGCTCTAAGACTCTAAAATAAGATAAAGTAAAGCTACTGCATAATTTTAAGAACAAGATCACTGTGCCACCCACAATACTAACCATTCCTCTCTACCAGCTCATTTAAGTGACTGCTACTACTTTACCAATTATGTTTAGCCTCACTCTATTCTGCCTTCCTATAGATAAGGTTTATAATTGAGATAACCAATCAAAAGCTTTGAGAGTCACAGACAACCACCCCTAGACACTGCCATGGGGCCGTAGCCCAAAAGTGCTCCCCATGGCCTCTGCACCTGCCTGTCTGCATGCTTCCACTAGGGGTTTGAGCAGCAAGGCGACCGAAGGAGTGAGCCACACCCCTGTCACATGTCCTGTGTTGCGGATGAGGAAACTTTCCTGTTTCAATAGTAAGCAGCTATGTTGTGGTAAAATACCATTTCACAATTCTACCTAAAGCTGAGATGAACAATAATAGAAAAGAATATTCAAAAGCAATTAAACAGCCTTAAGGCAAGCTCTATTTAGGTGTGAAATAGAAACAAAACATTTAGCAACTGGCCACAATATTCTTTTAACCTCTTGCAAGTTTTAGGTCTTTTATTATTTAAGTTAACTGGATAGTGGAAGAAAAAATTATTTTTCCTCTCCCTTCTAGCTTCTCCCACTGGAGCCCTGCAAATCAGATTAACATAGCACAGATTAGCAAGAGAGAAGCACATAATTTTATTAGCGTGCCCATCCCCAAAACACATGGAAGAAACTTAGTAGTCAGTAACTCAAAGGGTAGTTATTGGTGTCTCCAAACCTAACTTAGTAGGGGAAAGGGAAAGGGAGAAACGGTACTTGTGAAAAAGCAGCTGAATTTCTGGAAAGATAAATGGGCTCTTAGAATAGACAGAAGATATGAGAGTGCATGAAAATGTCTATGTGGGTATGGTGATGACTTCTCTTCTTCTAAAAAAGAAATGAGAGTTGTTCCTAGGAAAAGGTAGGCTGAGGCAGGAGAACACTTGAACCCTGGAGGCGGAGGTTGCAGCGAGCCGAGATCACACCACTGCACTCCAGCCTGGTGTCAGAGCGAGACTCTGTCTCAAAAAACAGCAACAACAACCAATCCCAATTTCTTGGTGGAAGTTACCAGATGTATTATATAGTCAGGGAAACTTGTAAGTCACAAAAGATTAAACAAATTTAACATAAGCAAAATTATTTTGAAAGATCAAATTAAGAGTTATGATTACCAAAAATTTTAATGTTGATCTGAAAATACTGTAAACCCTTAGTCTAGTTAACACTAAACACTCCTGCATGATGGGCTGCTGCTGACATTGCCACAGCCTGCTTTCTCCTCAGTGTTTGTGAAGTTACACATGGCAGCACAGAAGCTTTCTGTGAGGACCTTGAATTTTGTCCTGGGAGCATTTCAGCATGTGGCATTGGCATCTCCTTTGTCCCTTTCCAATCCTCATCCCCAATCCCTCCTCCCATGATGAATAAGATGCCACCCAGCCAGAACTACTGCAGAGAATTATAGCAGCAACTCTTCCTCCAGGCACTGCAGGGCCTGTAAAACTTTCACGAACTCATGAAAGTTTTATTGCTTTCTCTCTTTTTGACCAATGCGAGAAATAACCACTACCACACATTTTTTAAAATTAAAAATGTAAAAAAAAAAGCAGAACAAAACAATAGAAATGTCCACAAATACAAAGCATTCCCCAGTTCCTTAGCTTGTTATACTAGCAAAACAGAAATTCTTTATTCTCCGTGTGAATGGTAACTGATAAAACACACATACCCCTAAGAAAACAAATGATTAGCACACTGCTGTGTGTACTGTCAGCTCGTAACAAATAAAAAGCAATGATTCTACCCATTTTCTTGGCTACGTGTCTTGAGAAGCAAGGGAAGGGATATTTAATGATTGTTTTTTAGTGTTCTTTTTGAAATCTCCATTACAAATGTTTTGTGTTAAAAAAAAATGATCATGCTGTTCAGAAGTTCAAATTCAACACTTAGGAATACACTATCCGTAATTTCGGAAAGAACACCTTAATGCATACCATATACATTTACTCCCTCTCCATACATATAGTATAATATATATGGCATATATAATATATACTATTATATATTATATTATGAATACATATTATATATAGCATACATTTATAGTAAATAAATATATAGTAAATATATATTTACTATATATAATGTATATATTTAATAATGTAATAATATAACATAAAAATCTTTGTATGTCTTCTTTTAATTCAATTCAATCTCCCTTAATTTCTTTATATTCATTCAAAATCAATTTTTCTTGAATTGTTAAGTGCATCCCTTAACCCAGAATTTTTTAAAAATCTTATTAAAAATATAACTATTCAAAACAGGAGATGGTACTCTGTTGTTCCTAGTTCTAGAGTTTAAAGGTGACCCCATTCTGACTGATAGCTGTTGAGATATTTCCTGTCTAACCTCAGTTGTCCTTCACACAGTGTTCAATCTGTGTGGCATGTTTGGAAAAAGCAGACTCGCAGCACAATGCTAAAACTTCTGCCTCAGAACCATTGAGCTCCAAGGCATTTGTTTGCCTTAAGGGTGGACATAGCTCAACACAGCTCAACTGATTTCCCATGTTCTTAATAGGTGTAAGGTGGATATCATTATATGAGAAATAATGTAAGACATGCTTCTAATAGGACCCTGAAGGTGAGTTAAAGTGACAGGGCACCCATTACTGCCTTTAATAGGACATTAAAGCCTGGACACCCTGAACACCATTTTATCAGGGAACAGGCAGCAAATTCATCTAGAATTCTCAAATCTGCCACATCCTGAAATGTAGTTCCATGAGAGTGCAACTTTACACCCAATCGGTCTCATTGTATTTCCTTTTATGATCATAGGAATACATTTGATATTTCTAAATCATACCATGCTAAAAATGAGATTTCCATACTAAAAATGGTAAAAGAAATGGATCATCAGGTAGACAAGTAGGAAAAAAAGAAAAGAAATTAAGTCTTGCTATTCTGTTTTCATTACCCTGCTTGGAGTCCCAATTTGGATACTAAACGAATCCTATCAAGTAAATATATATATTTACTCTTGGTGTTGGCTAACATGGTGAAACCCCGTCTCTACTAAAAATACAAAAAATTATCCGGGCGTGGTGGCGGGCGCCTGTAGTCCCAGCTACTCGGGAGGCTGAGGCAGGAGAATGGCGTGAACCCCGGAGGCGGAGGTTGCAGTGAGCTGAGATCGCGCCACTGCACTCCAGCCTGGGCGACAGAGCGAGACTCCGTCTCAAGAAAAAAAAAAAATTGCTTTAATGCCCTGATGTTTATAGATACAGTATCAAATAAGAGAAATAAGTCTGTGTATTGCCTTCTGACAATTCATATTTATAATTCATCTATCAATAGAAATTGATTATAGGATCATAATACCCTGAAAAATGCAATATTATACTTATGTACAACAGTAAACATAATATGTGCTTCTGTCATGGGTTTTAATATTTCAGGCGCAGTTAGGCACAGTGAAATGTTTAGGAATAACTGTTCTTAGACGTTTTACTGTGCCTCATAAACCATGTCAACTGAGCCATGGTTGAAGACTGAATGGAATATTTCAATTAATTATTGACAGATTGTTACAGTGACTCAAGAGAACCAGTCAAGCAACAATGACAATATATTTTCTCCTCTTAACTACCCCAACACCTAAAATATTCATTTTTAGGAAAATATACATACTAACTTAACAGCATAACTGAAAATATTTTATATTAAAGCTTATTTTCCCATTAGAGTTGCTTTGATTTTTGAACTAATTGCGGAAAATTGCAAGGACAAGGTTAACTTAGAGGATTTTTTTGACACCATTATATGTAATCTTTTTTAAATTTAACTTTAAGTTCTGGGATACACGTGCAGAATGTGCAGGTTTGTTACACGGGTATACATGTGCCATGTTGGTTTGCTGCCTCTAACTTTGAGGATTTTTACATAAAATCACATAGCTAAAATCTAGGCATAAAGACATGTAAATGACTTCATTTTCATTTTCCTGAGCACCAACTTTAACTCTTTCTCAAATCAACTGTGGCATCTGTCAAGTACGTCTCATAGTAAGGAAGAATGAATTTTGGCACACTGTCGACATTAACAAAAATGGCAGTGGGAAAAATAGCTGTATTTTTGTATTTCCAAATGACCACTTAAAATAATCTCAAGTCTTTATTACATAAATTTTCTGATTCTCCTAGTCTCTTTGGCTTCATCTTTCTGTGTTAGGCCTTGTCAGTATCATCAGTTTACCTTTGGATAAGAGCTGTTCATCTGGGATGGTGTCTGGGCTGGCACACACCACACACAGAGCAAACACAGCTGCAGCGGCTCTCCCAGGCAGCATGCACCAACACTAACAGCACAGAGAAGTCCGCCACGGCGTTGTCTCCACGTGTGTCATCACACACACTGTCTTCAGTCATAAACTCAACAGAGCTCATCTGTTCTCCAAAAGGTTGTTGGAACTACATTGTTCTTGCATGATCTAGCAGCATTTGAGTTTCTAATACTTTAGCAAAATTATAAAAACATAAATGAACAGTCAGAGTCTTTTTGAAGGCTTGGAAGAAAAAGAATCTATTAGAGATGAAACCATGCTCACATAGATAAAATAATATTAAGGAAGTGTCTAGTATGAAATTCTGCTATTAAAAAATGGTGTTGGGACCAGGTAGGGTGGCTCACACCCGTAACCTCTGTGGGGAATTACTTTGTGGGGGCCAAGGTGCGGGGATTACTTGAGGTCAGGAGTTCGAGACCAGCCTGGCCAACGTGGTGAAACCCCGTCTCTACTAAAAATACAGAAATTACCTGGTGGCAGGCACCTGTAATCCCAGCTGCTCAGGAGGCTGAGGCAGGAGAATCACTTGACCCCAGGAGGTGGAGGTTGCAGTGAGCCGAGATCACGCCACCGCACTCCAGCCTGGGCAAGGGAGCTAGACCCTCTCTCAAAATATATATATGTTATAATATATATATTATATATACACACACATAAAAATAAAAAAGGTGTTAGGAGTAGCTTAAGGTAGAAAATAAATAAATAGTATTAGATGCATTTTCTGAGACAAATGTAATTCAATTAGAATTGTCCGCTATTTACATTCAAAGTCAATTAATAATCCTATTCAATAAGCTGGCCGTGGCCTTTGCCTTATACTACAAAAATGTCATTAAGAATCAAATATAATCGACCCAAATTGTGTTAGTTCACCGCAAGTTTTTACACCTTGGATTTTGCATGCATGCTACAATGATAATAGCATCACTGTAGGCTAAAGCACTTCTGAATAAAATTGTTTTTATTAAAGTTTCAAAATTTTAAAATATTAAACTGTATGAAACAATATGACTTATTAATGGGCCAGTGATTTTACAGCATCTCCTAACACCCCATCTGTGGCCCAACAGTGGACCTCCACAGTAGTACATAAATGTATGTCAATTGGTTGTTACATAAACATATTCTACATAAAAATGTCTTTTGTTTTTCCAAGTATATACATTCTGTAACTCATGATTTGCCTTGTATTTGTTCAATCTTATTACTTATAGCTTTAAAATATATCACAATTAAATTGTATGTAGTTAGAAAAGGAGGACATTAGGAAAAATATATGTAATGAGAGAAGTCTTAGCCTTACAGAACAAGACAAACACTTCAGTCAGGCAAATTTACAAACAAGGCTGCAAGTCAGTCAATGTGGCTCAAGAGAAGGAGTTTCCTCAGAGCTCCTGGGACAGGGCACAGCTCATCACAGCCACTAGAGGCAGCTGACTGCTGCTCCACTCCTGAGCTCCCCAATTTTGTTTTCCTTTTTTTTTCTGGACACAATGGCTTCTTCTCTTTAATAATGCCTTCCTTCTGCCCCATAATTTCTATTTGCATGTGGCTTTGACTTGTTTTGGTGACAGCTCTATGTTAGTTTCACACTCACTAATACTTACTTTTTCTGAGACTTTTTGCTCAAATTTTCCAAAGAGAGTACATAAACAGCCCAGCCCCTGGATTAGTTTACCTTGAGACAAAACTCCATCGCAGGTCCAAACAGCTAAGGTGAGGGAGGCCAGGTCAAATAGCACATTCCTCTCCACCTAGACCCACCTCTTTAAAAGTGATTGCAGGCTGTGGACAATATTTTTAAAATGAGACACAGGCTAAGCTAATACCCCACAGTGTACATCGTACAATAGAAAAATAGCTAAATACAGACAATTCATTAAAAAAATTCCGAAGATCATTATTATAAGAAAAAGCAATAATTAATGAAAATTGAGGGTTTAATTTCTACTATACAAATAGCATAGTAGATTTTCTTGAACTGTAATGATCTGGATCCAGGTTACTGCTGCACAAATGGAGAGGAACTGAAATATACTAGAAATAGACGTGGCTAGATACAGATATAGACACATATGTGTATGCACATTCTCTCCCAATATATACAGTTGATAGAGGTGAGAGAAAAAGTCCACTAATATTTCTATGAATTTATTTTTTGGTTAAAAAATGAATTTGGATACTATATTTTCATCTGATTTCTATTTTACAAGGCCCATAATGTAAGTATTTTTATTTCACTACTGTTAGATATTCCCTGAGAAAGAAAGAGACACTTGACATGTGAGAAATATCACATTTGCAAATGGATGTTTTTTGAAAAATATCAATGTTCTATTGTCTCTAGAATTAGAACATTGTTAAAAAATACATTTTGGCAATAACGAAGTGATTAGTCATCTGTGGGGTACAAGATAACAATACAAGAAACTAACCTTACTGAAAAGGTGGTGGATGGCATGTGATTGCTCTACATGCATCCCTTCAATCAATACCAGAATAGCTTTGGAGGCAGGTACAACGGTCATTATCTAAATTTTATAAAAGAAACTTAAATAGACAAAAGTTGTTTTCCCAAGGATACAGGGCTAGTAAATTAAATGGTGGGAGCCAGATTCAAACCCAGTTTTAATTTCAGAGGAAGCCATTGTTGGCCTCTGACTTTAAATTCCAGATAAATGGAAATAAGCCCATGTTATGGATATTCTAGCAATTTTGCAGAGTAACTCTAATGACACCTGTATTCTCTGTGTTATTATACTGAAATAGTCTATAGATACTCAGTATAAAGATACTGCAATGAAGAGTTGTATGGATTTTTAAAATTTTTATACACAGTTTTTGAAGACAATGTTTTAAAAATCATTGAGAATATTGGGTCATTTTGTTTTCATAGTCATGCCTTCCCCTAAAGAAATCCTTTTGTTAGAAGATAAATTAGGAGGCACATTGTTTAGAAGTAGACATAGAAAGATGGATTTAACAATCTGCCTAATTATGTTATTTCTTCTTTTTTGTTGTCTCTGTGTTCGTGCATGTGCATTTTTTATGTGACTAAGGATATCCAGAGAGTGGAACGGTAATGAGAAGTACAACAAATGGGTAGAATCATTTTGTTTGCATTATAATCCATACATGACTGATGTAGTACGGGAAAATAAACTTCTAATTGTGGTCCTTGGTCCTAGGACCAAACTCATGATCAAAACCACTCAGATAAAAAGTATCCAGTCAGAGTAAGGTGGTTGTTTAAGAGAAAATGGGATTTTTGGGGATGCTGGAAGTCAGAGAGCAAAGACAATGTTCAAAAACACGTGGTCTCTGACTTCCCCTTCTCTCCAAGAATGGAAAGTTGGCTGCCGATGCTGTGGTTAGTTTACAAAGCAGGGAAGGCCTATGTTGGTGAGCATGTACTTAAACTGAGTGTGAGTGTGGCCTCGCTGCATGGGGAGTAGCTGCATCCCACGTGCACTAGAGAATGCAAATGCCAAAACCAACACCAAAACAACAGCCCTCTCAAAAATGCTTTATTCGCTTCTACTCTACATGTATGATCATTTTGAGACAGGAAAATAGGGCCTGGGTGCAGGGAACCTAGGGAATTCACAGAACTAAATCAAGCTCTGTGACCAAGTAAATAACTCTAACTCTACTTCAGCCATGCCAGGAAACATCTTCATTTGCATAGGGTGTACACCAAGGAAATCACTTTGTACCCTCACTTCATTCTCTTTATTTGCATAGGGTGTACACCAAGGAAATCACTTTATAACCTCACTTCACCTCTTCATTTACATACAACGGAAGCCATGTCACCAATGGGAAACCTCTAGAGGGTATTTAAACGACAGGAAATTCTGAACATGCCTTTGAGCTGCTTGCTCGGCCCCTCCCACCCTGTGTCGTGTACTTTCATTTTCAATACATCTCTGCTTCTGTTGCTTCATTCTTTCCTTGATTTGTTTGTGCATTTTGTCCAACTCTTTGTTCAAAATGTCAGAACCTGGACACCCTCTACCAATAACAGTTTCATTTAAGGAAAGTTTCTGTACTCTTGGCTAAGTAAGTCAGAAACTTATTTTAATCTTACAATGAGTACAGGTGGTATCTTCCTACCCATTCCTAACCTACTTATGAACCCCGCTTTGGAAGGTGACAAAACGCCTCACCAAGCCTCAGAAAGAAGAGGCCTGCTTAGCAGCATTACAATCAATAGTATTTATAAAAAGCTATCACGAGGTCGAGTGCGGTGGCTCACACCTGTAATCCCAGCACTCTGGGAGGCTGAGGTGGGCGGATCACGAGGTCAAGAGATGGAGACCATTCTGGTCAACATGGTGAAACCCCATCTCTACTAAAAATACAAAAATTAGCTGGGCGTGGTGATGCTTCCCTGTAGTCCCAGCTACTCAGGAGGCTGAGGCAGGAGAATCGCTTGAACCCGGGAGGCAGAGGTTGCAGTGAGCCGAGATTGTGCCACTGCACTCCAGCCTGGGTGACAGAGCGAGACTCTGTCTCAAAGAAAAAAAAAAAAATGCTACCATTAAAACAGTAGTGACAGAGAGGAGAGGCAATGCCATTACATGAGACCAGGGGAAGCATTATTTGTGGTTCTAGACGGACTGTGACAGAAGTTGTTTGCTCAGACAAAGCCCATCAGAGTCAAATACTTTCAGATTAATACCTTGCTTAAGTTATTACAGCATGGATGGTATGCGATGTTTAGGCTCACCTATTTAATCATAAAAAGTGTCTATGCATATCAACTAATTAAAACTACATAAGTTAAAAGAAATATTTTTATATTAAATCTATTAATCTACTGGTAATTATATTTAATGGTCAAAATCATAATATTCTAATTCATTATTTTATGCACAAAAACTTGGGGATAGAGTCTAAATAGTGGTTGAATGGATGATGAATATATCACTAAACAAAACAAATGAATCAATATGTTCTCAGGGGCCTCCTAGTCCCTAAATTCACAAAACTCACAAAAGAGAAAGACAAAAAGCAAAATTTACTTAGAGAATGCTTAGCATTTAAAGCCCCAAATTCCTATAGGTCGCATCTAATAAAGTTGTACTAGCATTCCAAAAGTATGGAAGCTGAGTAGAGGAAAATGGTAACACCACAGCAATGCAGTCAGCCATAACCATGATGTGGAAAACTTTAAAACAAACGGCTCAAATTCATACGTCGTTGAAAAAGGATACATTGTTAAGAAAAAAGTAGCCTGTGTTGAAGTGAATAGTTAATGTATTTTGTAACAATTATTTTAAAAATGGAATACTCAAATTCTTACACGCTGCTTCTACAGAGGCTGACTATACAATACATAAATTAAAAAATAAAATAAGCAGATTTCTCTGCTTCATATATTTTGACCTCTTCTGTGTGTACTTTTAAATTTTTTGAACCTAAGCATGCTTTTAAAATCAATTAAACATTTTATATAAACTGATAAGTAAACATATCCAAGAGTGGAAGTTGGAAGACAATGAAAATGTCTACCTTGGATATGAGGAGGCCATCAGGGAGAAATGTACTATGGAAATATTTTTAAAACTCAGGAATAAATTGTGTCCCTCACATCAGAAATACTAAGTCACATGGTCTGAAGGAAATCCTGCAACTTTAAAGAATTGATTTTCAAAATTACCCACCAATACCTTATAATACCAGAATGTTGAGTAAGAAACATTCATATCAACCCCTATCTGAATTCTGAGAAAACGACTGTCATGTAATTGACAGTGGTGAGGACTGAAAGCACAGGAACATCCTGAGCCTCACCAGCACCAAGCCTAGACACGAGAAAAAAGTGATGCCAGCCTGGCACCATCAAAATAATCTCTACATATGAGGACAAGTTAGTGTCTTATAAATGCAGAGGGAAAGTGTTTAATTGTAAGAGATTTGCTGAACTAAAAAGGAGAATGTCTTCATAAACAACTGCTCTGTAGCTGCAAAATAAAATAAAACATGGACCCTTCAAAAAATATGTACACTCCCCTCAAGGTGAGCTGACGAGAGGATACAAAGATCTTCCAGCAGCCAGGGGAGTAACCTGGCCCCAGAGCAAAGACCACCAAATGTTGGGAGTTTGTGTTTCTCATTTTTTTTTGTCTTTTTCCAATCAACCAAAACACAGGCAATTAGTTTATAAGCTTCACATCCTTAACCAGAGCTGGCAAAAAGTACGAGTCAACAAACAAAAATAATTGAAACAAAACACAAAACAAAAACCGTCGGATCAAATGAGGAAAAGCTCATTTTTGGGAATAGAAGAGAACATCACCAAATCTGAAATGCTACCTGTAGAATAAAGTCAAATGAATATTCATTCATAAAGTGAAGACAGAATGATGTAATTCGAATAATGAGAAAATAAGAATAACCTGTTGGCATCATCCAAGTAAAAATCAAGTAAAAATTCGATGGAAGAACCAGAAGGTAAAGTCCCGGAATTGTCTCAGAAATTAGAAAAAATAAGATGTAAGTGGATAATTTTTTTAAAAATCCCAATCTTGAGTTAAAAAGAGATTTGGGCAGGAAAAAAAAATGCCCTTGTGAATCATGCACATTGGGTGTTAATTGAAGCCAGGACCATAGATGAGATTGACTAGAGCGAGAGGGAATAATTTGAGACAAAAGGGCCCAAACCCAAGCTTTCCAGAACTCCAAACGTTGGTGGCCTAGAGGAAGAAAATTACCCCACAAAGCAGGCAGAGAAGGACGAGCTGGAAAGGTCAGGGTTAAAATGAGGCTGAGGAGTCTCCCAGGTCACCGAAGGAGAATGGGCAACAGCAGAAAATGATGAAGAGGGGCCACACAGGAGCAAACTGAACACAAATACTGCAGGCTGGAGGTAATTACTGAATTTAGCAAAAGCTGGTTTGGGTGTAGTGTTGGATTAAAAGTTAGATTTTAGTGGGTACAGACTGAGTAAATAGAAATAATGAGAAGAGGCAACACCAGGAAGAGACAGGCAGAATACTTCTTTAACCTGATAACAAACAAACAAAAACCTTTTATTTAAAACCCCTGCCTAGAATGTTCTTAAAGTGAAATACGAAGTATGCCCAGTATATCTAAAGAACATGTAACATATATCACTGTTTTGTTGGGGAATATATATTATTTCAGTATAAAGATAAAACTATTTTATTTTCCCAGTAAATACTAGAAATAGTGTTCTGTCTTCCGAGCACTTTCCCGGCTGTGTGATTTCCTGAGTCCACAGTGATCTACCGTGGGGCTTCCAGCTCTGCACCAGCCCAATGTCTCAAGCTCCAGGACCCGCCGTGGGCTCCACTGGCCGGCTGGGCACGCGGGGGCGTTTTCCCTGTCCTTCCCTGGACATTTGGGTCACACACTGCGCACTCCACCCTCTAACGGGGAGTAACGTTCCCCTGAGAGAGCATCACCACCCCTAATCAAGGGAGATGGGGGACAGTGCAGGCACCCCACGTCCTTCCGGTGGTTCTTTTCTGTTTGTTTGTTTGTTTGAGACGGAGTCTGGCTCTGTCGCCCAGGCTGGAGTGCAGTGGCTCCATCTCTGCTCACTGCAAGCTCCGCCTCCCGGGTTCCCGCCATTCTCCTGCCTCAGCCTCCCGAGTAGCTGGGACTACAGGCGCCCGCCACCACGCCCGGCTAAATTTTTTTGTATTTTTAGTAGAGACGGGTTTTCACCGTGTTAGCCAGGATGGTCTCGATCTCCTGACCTCGTGATCTGCCCGCCTCGGCCTCCCGAAGTGCTGGGATTCCAGGCGTGAGCCCCCGCGCTCGGCCCGGTGGTTCTTTTTTCACTCCACTCAGGGTGAGCTGAGGAGACGGAGCAGCCTCTCTCCATGACTGTTACTTCCCCACAGCTGAAGCATTTTCTTACCCGTATTTGTATTGAGGAGTCAGGACGGTGCGCAGTGAGCGATTCCGCCGTCGCTGGCGGACACACCTCAGCGGCTCCACCAGGGGGAGACTGTCCCCGTTCCCCGGATGGGGGCTGCGCTCAGTTCCAGCTGGGGCCTGAGTGGGGCGCTGTCACGAGGCACCCGGTCCCTCTGCCCCACGTGTATTCCCCATCGTCATTTAACACTGTTGCTTGAGTTGCGTCCAGTGGAATCAACTGCAAACAGAGAAAGTTAGCATATGTGTGTAAAGAAAAAAGATGAATGACCCTTTTTGTAGATGAGAGTTCAGTTTTGAAAATACACACACTCAAAATTTAAAACTTCTAAAACGAATAACAGAGTTCAGTAAATTGGCTAGGCAAAGAACATAGAGAAACAAAACCCACCACTGGTCAAGGTGTACTAAGTTGGATATCATCAAATGTAGCTGTTAACAGTGTAAATTAATTTTAATATTTTGAAAATTGTACAGAGCAAGCATATGAAGAGCCTTAAAATGTTCACATCCCTTGATCCACTGATTTTATGTCAAGGAATTCATTCTAAAACATAATTCTAAAAACTAGGTAAGGATTTACATTTTAAAATTATTCTTAAAGATATATTTAACATTGATTAAAAAATGAAAACGACAATATCGGAATTGTTAAAGAAAATGTGGCATTTTCTAACAATGCACTATTACACAGTCACCAGATACTGTGTTTATAGGTTCCTCTCACAATATAGAAAAATGCTTCTGTTTATGTTAGATGAAAAAGCAGGAACTTATTTGTATGTAAGCCTGACCACATGTAACATGTAAAATGAGGTCTTGTCTGTCTCAAGATAGCTGAGGTCAAATATATTTCAAATACCTAGCATATCCCGAAGTTCTATCCCTAATGTTATAAAGAACATGCCCAGAGATGATAAAACTAGGCCACAAGGTAAAAGTGACAGAAATCCTGAAGTCTGGAGTTGTCATCTTACATTGGACATATTTTATATAGGAGTTACCAGAAAGAATAAGTAAACTCTCTGAGATTTCACCTGAGGGAGAGGAGGTAAGTATTCAAGACAGCAAATTTAACAGGAAACGTTGAAATGTAAATTATTGATTTTATAACTGCATTCTATCAGGTTCTAGTTGTTAAATCTACCACTTATGTGTGTATAAAATAGCAAATGGAATGAAATATAGAAAAATATTAATAGAGGTTGTCATTAAGTAATATATTTATGAGTAACCTTCCTTCCTTACCCTTTTTTTGTATATTCTGTTTTTATGAAAAACAATATTAATTCTATACTTGAAAAAATTTTACTGAAAAATGAAGTAAGCTAAAGAGGGGTTGGGTGTGGTGGGTCACACCTGTAATCCCAGCACTTTGGGAGGCCGAGGCGGGTGGATCATTTGAGACTAGGAGTTGGAGAGCAGCCACCATGGCAAACATCCTCTCTACTAATAATACAAAAATTAGCTGGGTGTGGTGGTGCCCACATATAGTCCCAGCTACTTGGGAGGCTGAACCGCTTCAGCTGGGAGGGAAGGTGGAGGTTGCAGTGAGCTGAGATGGTGCCACTGCACTCCAGCCTGGGCAACAGAGTGAGACTCAAAAAAATAAATAAATAAAATAACCCAAAAAGGTAGAAAAGTAATTCCAAGTTCATAATTCCCAGATTAACCTTCGCTCCCCATGTTGGAACCAAGATTCCCTAATCAAATACCAGTCCTGGGACTGAGTTATAAGCTTTGTTTAGCCTCTGAATCATTCAACAATCCAGTCTTCTCATGTACCTCACTGATTTTGGCTAGGGAGATATTGCCATGTTTTTTTATCAAATGAATGGAATAAATTATGTAAACACAAAATGCAAGAACAATATGGTGCATGCATTAGGTATTCAATAAATGATGCCTGAAACCAGAGAGAAAACTCATTATTTTTTGAGGACCTGTTGCTTATCCATAGAATGAAGATGAAGTGGTGTTTCTAAAATAAGTAAGGTATGCTAAGTAACTACCCATCATCTCACTAATTAGAACTGAATGAGTCATGAATGTTGAATATTTATTCCATAAACACAGAAACCTGTGACAGACCCGCAATTCTTCAGAGTTCACCATTAGAAAAAGGCTCATTCAACTGAAATTTTTAATTGGAAGAGGAGATGGATTCCGGCTTTATTGTTTCTCCTTGTCTACACATATTTCTGCTTCAGACTGACTCTGTCAATTACGTTCTCCTATTATTCACTGCATGCAGGCCCTCAATTGCTGTAAACGTTGGCCTCAGGCTTGCTTATTGCGCTATAAATTTGGCAGGAGAGCTAATGGGAAAGGTGCAGCCATTTGCTGTTTGAATTCAATTTTCATGCGCGAGGCTTTTTTCCCGACTCCGAGAGTGCTCTGCTTGTGTCAGCAGAGCAAGTAATTAAAAGGGTCAGTGGTTAAATATTGCTACAAGTAGTTCAAAACTAAATCGTCATTTTTAGAGACAGAAAGACAAACACGGATGAACGATAAATGCATGATCCGTGGACTGATCTAGAACTACAAAAAAAAAAAAAAAAAGTGCTGACACCCTTCTTCACTCCAGGAAGACAAGCGACTCCATTTAAGGGTGGTGGAAGCTCGTAAAAGAGTAAGTGGTAATAGTGAGGTGCATTAGGGCATTCAAAGGCAGGTGCTCTATCGGAGAAAAATCAATGTGTGCATTGCATTTGCAAACCAAAGTCAGGGTTATTGTTTCATTTGTCAAGGTTTTAGGCCACAGAGTAGAAACATTTAAATGAGTGATTTAAATCAAGCTAATCTTTTAAAGATTGTCCATTTATTCAAAACGTTAAGCTTAATTGATGCTTCAAGACAGAGTACTCTTCCCTTTCCATCTTAGCTGTCTTAGCTCTCACCGCTACCTTCCTGCTGATTTCTTTTATTAGACTCCTCAAGTCCCATAATTGAATCTAATGTGTATTTCTACTATCACCACTAGGCTTATTAATTTGTGATAGCTCTAAACCACCACCAAAATTCCAAAAGGAAGAGGGAAAATACATGGAAAAATATAGGCCAGGCTTTGTGGCTCCCATCTGTAATCTGGGCACTTTGGGAGGCCAAGGTGAGAGGATCACTTGAGGTGAGGAGTTTGAGATAAAACTGGACAACATAGTTAGACCCCATCTCTACAAAATATACATAACATATATACTATATTAATATATGGTATATTATATTTTATATTTTATTATATATAACATTTGTGTATTTTATATATATTATATATTTATGTATATTATATATAAAATCTTATCAATATTTAAAGAGAAGTTTATACCAAAATATTTGTTCTCCTCTTTAGAAAAATAATCCCAGGCATTTGTTATAATCTGGTTCCAAACATCATTGCACTATTTTAAGTTTTTTTAAAAAAATTACTCTGATTTAAAAAGCAAGTAAACAGAAAATGGTTATTTGTATCTATAGCTGCTGGACTTTCTTCTTGGTTGTTCCTCAGTGATGTACGGCACAGGGGGCAGAGGCTGAGTCTTCATCAGGCAGAAAGGACAGTAACAACTGCACTCACTCCGGCTTTCTCCAGCGCCCGGGGGATTTGACATTCACTAAAGACATTTTTCTTTTTTAATTAAATTACCTTTCCCAAGTGGTATCTACCTTGCTCTAAGTGCTTTCTAATGAATCCTTACAGTGATTTTCTTGTCCCTCCTATTTTACAGATGAGAACACTGATTTTGGAAGCTTGGAATTAGTTTTTTTCACAGCTAGCAGGTAACTCAATTGGAGTCAACATCAGCCTCCCATCCACAGGATGATCGTGACAGTACCCATCTCCCCAGCTGTGAGATTAAACAAGTGAACACATGCCAAGCACTCAGAATGATGCCTGGCAGATTTAGCACTTTATAAATGACGATTATAAGTTCCAAGAGAGAAAATTTAACAATGTATTGGAATGTCTTAAAACAGTATTTCCTAGAGACCTGATAATGGACCACCCACAGCAGAATAATCTGGGTGCTTATTAAAAAGAAAAATTTCTGGACCCTGTCCTAAACATCTTAATTAAAAACTCAATAAATGGAGCCTAGAAATCTCCATTTTCAATAACCACCTTACTGGATTTTTGAGCACACCAAGTTTTGAGAGATGTTTTACAACCTACTCAGGTTTATTTGCATAATTTATAATAGGACTGTCCAAGGTAAGGTGTAAATAATTCAAATGGTAAGGATTGTAGAAACGAAGAAAATGAAAATTTAAGTTTGTTTCGTAGTCCATTATTTGGATTTTTTATGACATTGTTAAATCAGACACTGAGGCAATGAGAAATATGGCTAAGATTCCTACTTCTTACTTTATTATGGTTAGCAGTTTCATATTTAAATACATGCGGTAACGGTGGAGCATGGAGAAAACATTACTGTAGCCACAGCTTTCCCACAGGCACCAGTAGGCAAGAACTCCCAGACTCCTGATCACTGTTTCTCCTAACCTGTCACTGGGAAAACTTGGCTAATAGGAAAGGACCAGGATATAGTGTAGCAACTGGCTTGTAAAAAGCAGTAAGGGTGCAAGCAACAAGATAGAATTAAGGGGAGGAACAAGCATATGCTCAGTAGCCATCAGCGTCTTACCTAATCTTAGGTGCAAGGGTACACAAGTAATAGGTCATACATGTCTCCTGCCTCAGCCACTCCCTTCTCTTCACGGTTTCATCTGTTTCTCTACCTTACATGCACCACAGCCAATTGAAAATATTATTTAATAAAAAAGACTGCATAATCAAAATACCTAATTGTTTTATTTAAATAAGAAAATATGCGTTAATAAATTTATTAGTTATCCTGTTATCCTGTTATTTTACATATCTATTCATCAGTCACTTGTCAGCTAAAATAGTCTCCTTTAATCAAGTTTTAATATTCAAAACACATGTGCTGCTCTTTAAAAAGCATGACAGACACATCATTCACTGTGCATTCAAAGTCATAGATTAATTGTCACCTAATCATGCAAAATCTCCTACAAGTTGTCAAATTGAAGTTTTCTGGTGTAAATGCAAAAATGTCAAAGACATAGTCAATAAAAACACATTGCTTCAATGTGGCCTTGTGCTTTAGATTATAACATTTATTTTTGAAATAATAACTCCTGCTTCATGTGCATTAAGTCTGTGAAAGAAAACTAATGACATAATACTCATATTCAATTGCATCGGTGTTGAGAAGACATTTAGTTTGCATACATATGTGTTTTAGACGTTGGGAGAATGCGATGTCAGAGTTCTCCATGCTTTGTGTCACAGATATTCCTGGCATGCCTCACCCCTCACTGTATTCATTAATGCCATCAGCGGGGGCTGTCTCTACACATGGACGTGGGACACGGAATTTGAAACCATGACAAATACCAAATGACTTTTAGCTACTGGGCCAAACCCAATAACTCAAGGTGTAACTACTTCATTTAACAGCCTAATCTCAAGACACTCTACAAGTACCACAGATGTTTGAACAAAATGCAAAAGGAAAGTACAATTATTACGATTTTGCACATGAGAAAACTAAGTCCCTAAATACTTGATACTTCCTCGAGTAAGGAAGAATATCCTGGACCCAGATCCATCAATGGATAAGATCCATCAACATCATATTCTTATTTCCATGATTTGAGGAGGCTGAAAATTCCATTAGCTTCTATTAGGGCACAATAATGAGTGCCAATTATGAAGCAGAGTCAGTGGCACGTCCCATTTTGGACGTTAGCTGT